>NT_187548.1:0-179043 GCF_000001405.40 Homo sapiens
AAAACCTCACTGGTGGCTTGACATGGTATTAATCAAGGAGAATGTTTGTTTCATAATTTGAAACAAGAACCTGGATCTTTTATGAGGTCCAACATTATTTCCATATGAGGGGGCAGAGTGGGAAGAAGGCAGCTGGAACAGACGCCAGGGCCCAGCCAGGATCTGGGGCCCTCTTGATCTCCCTCATTATCGGAGCTCCTTCTCCCAGGGCCAGCCAGGGGCGCCACACAGCGCAGCCTTTTGCCTGGGGTCAGAGAAAGCTTATGGGCCAGGGCAACAACAAAACCACTTACCACCGCCAGATCGCATTCCCCCCAGCAGAGACCCCAGCCTGCTTCAGCCCCACCCCGAGCAGAGACCCCAAGACCCCGGCCTGCCTCAGTCCACCTGTCCAGAGACCCCTGCCTGCCTCAGCCCCACCCCGAGCAGAGACCCCAAGACCCCGGCCTGCCTCAGTCCACCTGTCCAGAGACCCCTGCCTGCCTCAGCCCCACCCCGAGCAGAGACCCCAAGACCTCGGCCTGCCTCAGTCCACCTGTCCAGAGACTCCTGCCTGCCTCAGCCCCACCCCGAGCAGAGACCCCAAGACCCCGGCCTGCCTCAGTCCACCTGTCCAGAGACCCCTGCCTGCCTCAGCCCCACCTCGAGCAGAGACCCCAAGACCTCGGCCTGCCTCAGTCCACCTGTCCAGAGACTCCTGCCTGCCTCAGCCCCACCCCGAGCAGAGACCCCAAGACCTCGGCCTGCCTCAGTCCACCTGTCCAGAGACCCCAGCCTGCCTCAGCCCCACCCCAAGCACAGATCCCAAGACCTCGGCCTGCCTCAGTCCACCTGTCCAGAGACCCCAGCCTGCCTCAGCCCCACCCCAAGCACAGATCCCAAGATCCCTGCCTGCATCAGCCCTACCAGTCCAGAGCCCCCGGCCTGCTTCAGCCCACCCGTCCCCTTCACTGCATTGGTCTCCATTCCTTTCTCCACAGCTTCCCAGCACTCCTGTGCCAGGGCCTTTCCCCAGCTCCAGGCCCAGCTGCAAGTGAGGTCCAGGCCTCCCTCGGCCCGTGCCATGGAGAGAGGCAGTAACCTGGCGAGGATGCCCGGGTGTGGAGGAGGGACCTGGGCTGGGGCTGTGTTGTGGGGAGGGGCCGGGGATGCCCCCTAGCGGACTGGGATGGTGTCTCTGATGCAGAGATGTTGGGGGAGGTGGTCGCAGAGGTAGAGGGAGGGTAGAGGGAGCTGGAAACGGGGAGGGGAAAGGCCCCTCGCACTGGGTGCCCGCCCTGCAAGTGTTGTGCTGGCCAGGATGAGAAGCTGTGGCCACTCAGCAGCCCTGGAGCAGGCCATCGGGGAATCTCCAGGGAGGGGCTGGCAGGCAGAGGCCCAGAGGCAGGACCTGCAGCTCGAGTTGAATGGGCAGCAGGGCCACAAAGACGCCAAGGCCGGGGCACTGTGGGACCCCTGCCCGCAAGGAAGGGGGGCGCCATGTGGGCTGCGCGGGGCTGGGTTTTGCTGTTTTGGCCCATGCTTTCCCTGTGCCTCTGCCTGTTCAGAGCCCCTGGCGCCCTGGAGGAAGGTCTGGGGGCAGCAGGGGGACCTGGATGGCTGGGGGTGGAGTGGGAGGGGAAGGTGGGGTCCAGGGTTTTCCTCCTAGTCCAGGGAGTTGGCCGCGGGTTTGGAGGACAGAGCCCTGACAGGGACGTGAGGCATTGGCTGTGAGCTCGAGGGGACGTACTCATGGGCGCCAGGGCAGAGACAGAGGAGGCTCAGAATTGGAGTCTGGGGCCTCTGGGAGGGGAGCTGGCTGGTGAAGTGGTCCAGGGTGAGGGCGGGGGCATGGCAGCAAGCAGAAGGACCCCTTTCCACTGACCCACGCCGCTCGTCCACAGCAGAGGCTCGGACCCCATTCCACGTGGGAGGTGGAACATGCTGGGGGGGACAGCAGCCCAAGTGGGGACAGAGGGGGGTCCAGCAGCCTTGCCCCACCCCACCCCCCACCGGATCCCAGGGGTCCAGCAGTCCCCTTGCCTCTGACCAGATCGCTGGGTCCAGCAGCCCATCATCTGCATCACAGGGGCAATGTGTGGTTTTTAGGTTTTGGTGTGTGTGGTGTGTCTGTGTGGTGTGTGTGTGTGTGTGGTGTGTGTTTGTGTGTCTGTGTGTGTGGTGTGTGTGTAGTGTGTGTTTGTGGTGTGTGTGTGGTGTGTGTGTGTCTGTGGTGTGTGTGTGGTGTGTCTGTGTGGTGTGTGTTTGTGTGTCTGTGTGAGTGTGGTGTGTGTGTGGTGTGTTTGTGTCTGTGTGGTGTGTGTGATGTGTCTGTGTGGTGTGTGTGTGGTGTGTGTGTGTGTGTGTCTGTGTGGTGTGTGTGTAGTGTGTGTGGTGTGTGTGTGTGTGGTGTGTGTTTGTGTGTCTATGTGTGTGTAGTGTGTGGTGTGTATGTGTCTGTGTGTTTGTCTATGCACATTTCTTTGGTCCTGGCCTTTTTTAATGATGGCAACAAACTTTACGAGAGTTTAGTCTTCATCTTTCTTTCTTTCTTTTCATATCTCTTGCAGCTTTTCCTGGATTTGTTTTTCTTTTCATTTTGAGGTTTTCTCCATAAATGTTTTCATTGTGGGTTTTGTTGGCAAGTCTTCTGAAGGCTTATGAGACTATTTTTATTATACCCTCAAAATACTTCTTTCTTTCAACTATTGTATTTTTTTACAGCCATTATTTCCACTTTGTTCTTTTTTCAGGACATTTTTCTTTTTCACACCGCTAACATCTTTTCTTATCATGTTAAATATGAGCATCCTACTCATGTTAAGTCATGTGTCTATTCTAACACACCTGCTTCAGATGTCTGTCATACACCTTCCAGTTTGTGGCTTTTTCTTTTGTGATATTTAAATTGCTTGGGCGTTTAGTTCCCTTCACCCAAGAGCTCACCTTCCTCTACAAGTGGGTTTAATCACCTCTGGAGGAAGATACATCCTCCACAACTTCTATTTTCATGCATAGCATCCAAAATACAAACTTCTGGCTATGCCAAAGACCACAAGGCCAATCACCAAGAGACAAAAAGGAAATATAAACAGAACTGAATAGGAGCAGATGTTGGACTTACCAAATATGATTTTAAATTAACTTTAGTTAAAATCACATGACAATATGAACAATACTACAGGATAACTGAAGTCTTTTGTTTTTTGAAAATCAAATGGAAATACTAGAACTAAGAACTGTATTAACTGAAAGTACTTAAAAGATGGGGTTAGCAACTGATTGAACATCAGAATAAAGATCAGTGAACCAGAAGCTAGGTAGGTAGAACACATAAAGAATAATGCAATCAAAACTAAAAGGAAAAAAGTAGAAAAAAGGGCGTGACAACGTATGAGACATGATGCAAATGCATGACATGTATGGACTGGAGTCCCAGAAGAAGAAGAGAGAGAATGAGGGAGAAGAATATTTAAAGAAACACTGGTTAAGACATTCCCAAAATCAATGAAAGACATCAGACCACATATCTATGAAGCTCTGCAAACATGAAGCAAAATGAATGCAAAGAAAACCACGCCTGGGCATCTTACAGTCAAAAATAAAAAGGAAGAGAAAAATTGTGACAGTAAATAGGCTGATGTTTTACTTCTCAACAGAAAATAATGGAAGCTGAAAGACAACTGAATGATGTATTTTTAAATTCTGGGGTTAAAAATAACAGCTCACCTAGAATCTTATATCCAGTTAAAATATTTTTATGAAAATAAACATGAACTGAAGATGTATTCAGATGAAAAGTTTGAGGGAATTTATCACCACTAATCTTCACTAAAATAAATGTAAAGGAACTTTTTCAGGCCAAAGGCAAATTATCCAAAAATATCTTGTTTTCAAACACAAGAAAATAGGAGAAAATTTGAAAATCAATAGAAAAGGTAAACTTGTGGGCAAACCCACTGAAAACAATAAAAATAATGATATATTGTAGAATTAAATATGCATACAATTAGGATACAGAAAAATGATGCAAAAGCCAGGATAGGAAAATGAGGTTAAAGAATTATAACGTGCTTGCATCCAGGAGCAAGTGTGCTAAGTCTGATACATCACCAATGCAGGTGAGGAGTCATTAAGAGAATGATTTAAAATGCACATGACTAAAAGCTTAGTGGAGAAAAATAAGAAAAAGTATTAACTCATCAAAAACTAACAGGAAAAGATGAAAACCAGCTAATGAGGTCACAATGAAGAAAACTGTAATGGGGTAAATCTAAGCACAGAAGTATCGTTAATTAATGTAGTCATATAAATTACACAAATACTCCAACTAAAAGACAAAGATTGTCATGCTGGATTATAAAAATAAAACAAAACAAATGATATGTTCCTTTAGATGGTACTCGGTAGTGCAGGTGCCTAAAGGCAGAAGGATAGTGCCGAGACCAGCTCGGTCGGGGAGACCCTAACCCAGTGGCGCTAGAGGAATTAAAGACGCACACACAGAAATACAGAGGTGTGAAGTGGGAAATAGGGGTCGCACAGCCTTCAGAGCTGAGAGCCCCGAAACAGAGATTTACCCACATATTTATTAACAGCAAATCAGTCATTAGGATTGTTTCTATAGATATTAAATTAACTAAAAGTATCCCTTATGGGAAACGAAGGGATGGGACGAATTAAAAGAATAGGTTGGGCTGGTTAACTGCAGGAGGAGCATATCCTCAAGGCACAGATCGCTCATGCTATTGTTTGTGGCTTAAGAATGCCTTTAAGCGGTTTTCCACCCTGGGCGGGCCAGGTGTTCCTTGCCCTCATTCCCGTAAACCCACAACCTTCTAGTGTGGGCGTTATGGCCATTATGAACATGTCACAGTGCTGCAGAGATTTTGTTTATGGCCAGTTTTGGGGCCAGTTTATGACCAGATTTTGGGGGGCCTGCTCCCAACAGATAGGAAAGGTGTCTCATGCAAACAGAAAACCAGCAGAATGTTTGGGAAAAATGATCAACAAATTTGACTTGGTCAGCATGGACAGAGCCCCGTGCATGAGGACTGACTTCAGCCTATGAATTTCTCCAAGTAGACAAGGAACATTACCAAAACTAATGGCCCATTGGATCATTAAAGAGTCCCCCCAAAATTGGTGGTGTTGAAAACATACAGAACATAGTTTCTGACCTGGATTCCATCCAAGCCATGAGGGGTTTTATGCCCTGGGCTTAGATTATGGTGCATCAGGGTAGGCTTCCACTCTTTAGCACAGAGCTCGGTGTTCCAAAGGCCACGAGGAGTTTTAGATCCTGGACCCCGGACATGTTCCAAGACTCTTTTACATTATGTCAGACATGCAAGCCCTGCCTCAGCTTCTCCCAACACTCAGCTTTTCTCCCAACATTAACTATATCAAAAATGAAAATGGAGACATCACTAAAGATCCCACAGATACTAAGTTAATAATAAAAGAATATGCTGAACAATTTATGCCAATAAATTTGACAATTTAGAAAAATTGAACAAACTCTGAAAAACACAACTTGCCAAAACTGATGCAAGAAAAATTTATGAGTCCTGAACAATCTTATTTAAAATGTTCCCACAGAGAAAACTTCAGGTCCAGTTGGCTCCACCAGCAAACCATTCTTCCAAACGTTTGTGGGAGAAAAAACACCAATCTTACACAAACTCTTCCAGAGAAGAGAAAAAATGATTAATGCTTTGCAACTTTATTTAAAAGACTAGCCTGACTTTGTGATTAAAATGTGATGAGATCATTGCAAGAAAGAAACATTACAACAATCTCTGACATGTGCATGGACCAAGTATCCTCTAAAAATGAATGAATTGCTGATAAATGAATTCAGTGAAGTCTCAGGTTACAAAATCAATGTACACAAATCAGTAGCACCGCTATACACCAACAATGACCAAGCTGAGAATCAAATCAAGAACCCGAGCTCTTTTACAATAGCTGCAAAAAGTAAAATAAAATAACTAGAAATAACTTGACCAAGAGGTGAAATATCTCTACAAGGAGACCTAGCAAACACTGCTGAAAGAAATTGTATATGACACAAACCAACGGAAATACATCCCATGATCATGGATTGGAAGAATCAATATTGTGAAAGTGACCACACTACCCAAAGCAATCTACAGATTCAATGCAATTCCTATGAAGATACCAACATCGCTTTTCAAAGAATTGGGAAAACAATCCTAAATACCATGCTGTTTTGGTTACCATAGCCTTGTAAGATAATTTGAAGTCAGGTAATGTGATTCCTCCAGCTTTGTTCTTTTTGCTTAGGATTACTTTGGCTATTCAGGCATTTTTTTATTCTATGAATTTTAGGGAGGGAGGGGAAGGAGGGAAGGAGGAAGGGAAGGAAGGAAAGAAGGAAGGAAGGAAGAAAGGGAGGGAGGAAAGAAAGAGAGAGGGAGAGAAAGAAAAGAAAGAGAAAAGAAAAAGAAAGAGATGGAAGGATGGAAGGAAGGAAGGAAAGAAAGGCAGAAAGATAGGAAAGAAAAAAAGAAAGGAAGAGAGAAAGAGAGAAAGAAAGAGAGAAAGAGAGAAAGAAAGAAAGAGAAAGAAAGGGAAAGAAATCATTCCAGTCAAAAGCCCCGTGTTAGAGATCAGCCGGTGGTTTCTGCTTACCTGAACTATAACCATGTACACTGAGATGGACTTTGGTTTGCTTGAGTTGAAACCCAAGGCGCTGGGGTCATCTCATTCTAATGATCTCCCAATTATTTTAACCTGTGTGTGTGTTTACTATGTGCACACACACAAGCACAACTAAGAACTCAAATTCAGAATAAAGAAATTCTACAAATCAATAAAAGACAAAAACCCAATTTTTGAAAACGCAAAGACAGTATCCAAATTGCCAATAAGCATATACAACCGTGCTCAACTTCAACGATTGCGGGAGCAACGAGTATCAAAAACACAATAAAATACCAATATACACCCGACAAAATGGCTAAAATTTACAGCTGACAATTGCAAGTGGTGGCAAGGGTGTGGGGCAACTGGAACTCCCATAGACTGTTGGAGAGTGTGAGTTGGCACAGCCACTCTGAAAAGCTGTTAAGCCCTGTTTGATAAAGCTGAGCATGTGCATACTCTATAACCCAGCACTTCAAATCCAGTGTATGTTCCACATCTGTACAAGAATTCCATCTGCCACAAAGTACACATGAGGCTGTTTGTGACACCCTTACTCACAACAGGTAAAAACTACTGTGATTAACAGAACGGATAATAAACTGCGTTCACATAATGGAATACTATAAGGCCGCTTACATGAATGAAACAGTGCTGTGTTCAACAGCATGGGTGAGTTTCACACTTATATGAAGTTCAAGAAGAGCTGAAGGTAATCTGTGTGTTAGAAGAGGGGTTGTGGAGCCTTATGGGGTGGAGGTTTCTGGGGGCTGGGATTGTTCTATGTCCTGGTCTTGGAGGTCTCGATGCTGTAACAATTCACCATAATTTTCTTATTCATATTATACTTCAAAAAATTGCCTAAAAACAATAAAAGGGTTAGGAAACTAAATAAATCAAATTTAATTTAAAAATAAATTCCTGGCTGGGCGCAGTGGCTCACACCTGTAATCCCAGCACTTTGGGAGGCCAAGGTGGGTGGATCACGAGGTCAGGAGATTGCGACCATCCTGGCTAACATGGTGAAACCCGTCTCTACTAAAAATATAAAAAATCAGCCAGGTGCAGTGGCTCACACCTGTAATCCCAGCACTTTGGGAGGCCAAGGTAGGTGGATCATGAGGTCAGGAGTTCAAGACCAATCTGGCCAATGTGGTGAAATCCCGTCTCTACTAAAAAATACAAAAATTAGCCAGGCATGGTAGTGGGCACCTGTAATTCCACCTACTTGGGAGGCTGAGGCAGGAAGAATTGCTTGAACCTGGGAGGCAGAAGTTGCAATGAGCTGAGATCACGCCACTGTACTCCAGCTTAGGCAACACAGAGAGACTCCATCTCAGAAAAAAAAAAAAATACAAAAAATACAAAAAATTAGCCGGGCATGGTGGCAGATGCCTGTAATTCCAGCTACTTGGGAAGCTGAGGCAGGAGAATTGCTTGAACCAGGGAGGCGGAGGTTGCAGTGAGCTGAGATTGCACCACTGCACTCCAGCCTGGGTGACAGAGTGAGACTCCGTCTCAATAAATAAATAAATAAATTCCCACATTGATTCTTTTGCGGGAAAAAGCAATAAAATGTGTGACCAGGCAAACAGACTAATGGAATAAAAGAAAGTGCCAAAAAGGGCCCCCTTCAATGGGAACCCTGATATGACAGGACCATCATCTATGGAACCCCACTGTGATGAATGTGGGCCCCGCATCCCTGGAGAAGGGGTACCAGGACCAGCATGGGGGGTGAGAGCTTCCAAAAATGCCCGCCAACTGCCTTCCTTCTTCACCAGGCCAGGCGAGTGCTCAAAGCACTTTTCCTGCAGGAACCGAGACGCGAGCTCCTTTAACAGCCACCAGCGAGTCCCACATCACCCTCCCCCTCTACCCGACATCCCTTTTCATTCTCAGGGGAAGCACCCTGGCCCCTCTTTGGCCTGGGCCCCCTGGGATGGGCTGCCTGGCGCAGCTGCATCCTGTAGGAGTCAGTGGGCGGCTGGGGCTCCGTGTCTTCCTGGGACTTCTATTGAAGGCATTTTGAGGAGGTTGGAAGATAAGTGTCTAGTTAGGCATTAGAGAGAAGTCTCCCTTCACAGTGGCAAAGTTAGGCTGTGTGTCTTTTCCTGTCTTGGGAGTAGCCGCTCTTGCCCCAGCTGCGGATGCTGGGTGTGAGCAAGGCTTTCAGGCTGGCCATGGGCTCCTTCCAGGCTTGAGCTGTGTCCCCTGAAGCCAGGGGGAGCCATTGACCTGCGGCCTCCCAGAGCAGGGGCACGAGGTCTGTCGCTGGACTTTCCAAGTCGACTTCCTTCTTTTGTCCTGCCAATTTTCTAAAGAAGAAAGCTGCCTTTTCTCTGGAGGCTGGCAGGAGCCATCTGGGAGAATGAAATACAGCCTCTTCCTCTTTGTCTTTAACTTCCCTTCAAAGCTGAGCGAGAAAAAAAAGATGACTTGGTCTGGGGTCCTTGGTGGCATCAAGCCCCCAGCACCCCTCCTGTCAAAGCAAAGAATATTACCAAGGGTAAAAAAGCGACATTTCATAAAGAGGCAATTTATCAAGATGACATAGCAGTCCTAATTATTTGTGCCCGTAATTACAAAGCTTCAAAATACTTGAAACAAAATTGATAGAATTGCAAGGAGAAATTTTTAAAATCACAATTACAGTAAGAGATTTCAACATCACTCTCTCAATAATTGAAAAAAGAGCAAGCAGACAAAGCAGCAAGAAAGAACATTGTGTAGTCCCAGCTACTCGGGAGGCTGAGGCAAGAGAATGGCATGAACCCAGGAGGCGGAGCTTGCAGTGAGCCGAGATCGCGCCACTGCACTCCAGCCCGGGCAACAGAGCGAGACTCCGTCTCAAAAAAATAAAAAAAATAAAGAACATTGGACAACATCGATCAGCACGATCTGACTGATGCCTACAGAACCCTCCACCCAACCACAGAGGAACTCATGTTCTTCTTTTTTTGAGACGGAGTCTCGCTCTGTCGCCCAGGCTGGAGTGCAGTGGCACCATCTCGGCTCACTGCAAGCTCTGCCTCCTGGGTTCAAGTGATTCTCCTGCCTCAGCCTCCCAAGTAGCTGGGACTACAGGTGCCCGCCACCACATCCAACTAATTTTTTTTGTATTTTTTAGTAGAGACAGGGTTTCACAGTTTTAGCCAGGACGGTCTCGATCTCCTGACCTCATGATCCGTCCGCCTCAGCCTCCCAAAGTGCTGGGATTACAGGCGTGAGCCACCACGCCCGGCCAATTTTTAGGTTTATGAGTGGCTGTCCCTGGAGCTCAGCTATGCTTGGGAAGCTGAGCCTCCCAGTCACAGGGGGCAGGTGCAGACAGGCTTGTACCAGAGGAGGTCGGCTGTCACATCCTGTCCCCACCACTGCCCACAAGCTGTGGGGCCAGGCCTGGGGACTTAGCACACCTGGCCCACCAGCCATGGCCCACAGCCCATGGTGAGCTCAGGGAGGTGGGTGAGACAGATGGAGCTGGCCTGTGTGGCTTGGCCCTGGGAGGCCTCTGTTTCCTCCCTCAGTGCCACCCCCAACCCCAGGAGGGGTAGGGACCAGTGGGCAGACGCCGAGCCCCTGGGTGCTGGAGCAGAGGAGACTGGCGATGAGGACCTGCATGCCCATCACACCCTCTGATGATCAGAAAGAAACCAATGCAATCCCTTCCCCGGCTCTCAGCCCTTCCAGGACTTCTCACCAGTGCAGAATTCCACCGTACACCTCATCTCCATCCTGGCCCAGGGTTAGCCCTGAAGATCAGGGGGCCTGGCCCAGATACTTCCTGCTCCCCACAGTGATTTTATGGGACTGAGCCAAGAGGATGCCCTGGCAGGGGGCTTCTGGAACCTGGTGGCCTTCATCTGCACCGCCTCTCTCTGCAGGCTCCCAGGCAGCATCAGGGTCTGTCTGGCCCAAGGGGAGGTGGAGTGCCCAGGACCTTGGTACATGGGCAAGTAAGGACTGAGATGTGTGGACTGCAGACCAAGCCCATCTTCCAGGGAGAGCAAAGAGAGCGGCACTGTGCCCACCCGGGCGACCCCTCCTGCACAGGTCCCATCAGAAATGGCATGGCTCCACCCCCAGCCTCTGCGATAAAGAAATCGAGATGACCCTAAGTTGTGCAAGGTCAGGCATCCCTCAGTGGCACAGGAACAGAACCACGGGTCTGTCCTGTTGTGCTTTTTTTTTTTTTTTTTAAAATAAAAGTGGTGGTTTTTAACCCCTTCGATCCAGAGCTCTTCTGTCTCGGTTGTGGTCCCACAGAACATTCTCTGTCTCCTACTCCTCAGTGAGACTGAAGGAACGGCTGCCAAGGAGCAGAAAGGCAGCTCTGGGGGCTGAACCCTGTGTGCAGCTGAGAGGCCGTGAGGCCTGGGATGTCCGGCAGGGTTGGGAAATAATGAGGAATAACTGGCAACTAGAATCCCAGGAGAGGGGCTTATCTTTAATGAAGTTCCTGGAAGTTATAAGCATTAAAATTAAAGAGGCAATTTCTGCTGGGCGAAAACTTTTTAGCACCAAGTGTCCATGGGCTTGCGGGAGAGAAGCCCAGGACAGAAACCCCCAGGGCAGCAGAGCAAGGCTCTTTTGTCCATCACTGCCGAGCAGCTGGGAGCCCCCTGTACTCACTGGGGAGAAAAAGCAGGTGGCCAGGGCAACAGGCAAGGGAGGGAGGGCTTGTGTAGAAGGGGAGTTGATTTTTTTTTAAGTGCATTCCCTCTTGGGACATATCTATGGACACTTGGAAAACCCAGGAAAGAGAACAGGTCACTTCCATTCCACAGTGCAGCATGGTTATTAAGCACTTACTGTGTGCCCTGAGTAACACGGGGTCCCTGCTCTCGGGAACGGTGTGACATGCTCGGCAACTCTGAGTTACCAGGGAGCGGGAGGGGTTCTGAAGTTCCCAGGCTCTGAGGACCGACTGTTGATGGAAGGCCTGGGCCACATCAGGTGTTTGCCCTGAGGACCCTTGTCGAGTCCCGGGACACCATGAAGGAGAATCCTGGATTTGGGGTCTGTTGTTCAGAAGAAAATGATCCCAGGTCGGCCGGGCGCGGTGGCTCACGCCTGTAATCCCAGCACTTTGGGAGGCCGAGGCGGGGGGATCACGAGGTCAGGAGATCGAGACCATCCTGGCTAACATGGTGAAACCCCGTCTCTACTAAAAATACAAAAAATTAGCCGGGCGTGGTGGTGGGCGCCTGTAGTCCCAGCTACTCAGGAGACTGAGGCAGGAGAATGGCGTGAACCCAGAAGGTGGAGCTTGCAGTGAGCTGAGATCGCACCACTGCACTCCAGCCTAGTGACAGAGCGAGACTCCGTCTCAAAAAAAAAAAAAAAAAGAAAATGACCCCAGATTGTGAGGCCCGGCTGAGCAGCCGTGAGCAGCTGGATGGGCACAGAGCCACCTCCTACTCCTCACCCAGGCTGTTCCCGAGGAAACCATTTCTGGGGTGACTGCAGAGAGGACAGCCCACCCTCTGCTCTTAGAGAAACAGCAGGGAGGAGAAGGCTGGAGTTCAACCTCCACCCCCACTCCCTGACTGTCAGCCAGGATGATGGAATCTGTGGTCATTTCCAGGAGAGCTTGTGCAAGCAGGAAGTAGCCAGACAGCAGCAGCGACCTCTTTAAACCCATTTTTTCAGACTTGGTTGATAGAGAGTATCGGAGTCGAGCTAGCCCCACCTCTCAGTCTGTCGCTCTCAAGTTGCCCAATGTGGAAGAGATATGGGGTCTGGAGGAGGAACGAGTGACACAGGTTCTGCAGGGCCAGTGGGTCAGCGGTGGGACGGGAATGACAGCCAGGACCCAGCATGCACTGCCCCCTCACAGGGCTTTTTCACAAAGGCTGAACTCTGCCTGCAAATTGCACAGAGACCCTTACACGGCAAGAAACTTTTATAAATGGGAGGTACCTGCAGGCTCCAGGGGAGGAGGGGAGAGAGGAGAGGAAAGGAGGGAAGAGAGATAGGAGAGTAGGGGAGAGAGGACAGAGAGACCAGGGGAGAAAGGAGGGAGGGGAAGGGAGAATGAAGGGGAGAGAGGAGGGGAGGGGAGCAGGGAGTACCTGGGAGGGCTAATGCCCATTCTCATCCAGGAGCGAGGAAGGACCAGCTCCCAGGCTGGCCTTCTGTTAGGATAGATCCTGCTCCATAAGAGGCCATGGAAGCAGGACCTGCCACAGAATTTCCAGGACCCAGGGAAAGATGTCCATGTAGGACCCCTTGTTCAAAAGTTAAGAATTTCAAGACAGCAACAGCAGAGCATTAAACCAAGCTCAGGGCCCAGGAAGTGGGGCGTGTTACATGCAGAGGGCAATGGAGCCCTTGAAAATGCAAAAGGCATCTATCCCCGTGCACAGGCTCTGTGTGTGCTTGTGTGAACTTGTATATGGGTACATGTGCTGTGTGCATGCATGTGAACGTGTGTGTGCATGTTTGGAGGGCAGGTATGCAGAGAAGTGTCATCAGGTACAACTCTCCTCTACTTCAGTGGACCCTGGGCTCACCCATGGTGAGGGCCCCCCACATAGAGCGCTTCCACATCTCAGCCAGCTGGGAGCCCACAGTGTCCATGCCCAGGCCCCATGCAGTGTTCAGAGTCCATGCAGAGTGCTGCCCATTGGGTGGGCCTGAGGCTCCAGGAAACAGACATGACAGCCCATGGGCAGGTGGCCTTCTGGTCAACAGCCATGAGGAGGCCTCAAGAGAAAGCTGCCTGGCAACCTCTTTCATCTGGGACAACTGGTCTGGCCCAACTGAGAAACAGCCTGGACTTCAGGCTGCCTCCTGCCAGTGGCTCCGTGGGTACCAGAGGCCAGGGGTGCTCCATCCTTTTTCCTGGGAGGGGTGAGTTGGGCCAGCCAGCCTCACTGTGGCCGCCTGGTGGGGCTGCAGGCCTGCCCCTTCCACCTCCCCACAGCCTTCTGGAGGGAAACACTAAGAAGAAGGCCGCTTCCTACACCATGTCCCACTGGCCTGGGGGACTTCAAACCCGGAAGCTAGTGTGGCCACAATCTCCTTTTGCAGCCCAAGAGTTGGAGACTGGTTTCTAAGGAGACAGTCAGTGCCTGGGTTGGTGGCAGGTGGGCTGTCTGCAGGAGGAAACCTCAGTGGGCCTGGGCCTGCCTGCAGGAGGGCATTGTTGGGAAGGCTACGGAAGACTCTCAGAGCCTACATCTCCATTCAGGGGCAACTCCATCCACCCTCATCGCCCCCTCTCCACCTGGCTGTCCTTACCTCCAGCCGGACACCAAGCCAGCTCTGCTGCAGGTGCAAAGGGGCCACCTGCCCCAGCCCAGCTTCCACATGTGAATGTCCTGTGCTCTAGACAGCCAGGACCTGCTGCCACCTGCTTGCTGGGGCGGTGAGCACCCTCAGGCATACCTGTTCATCACCCACAGATGCCCAGCCCTGTGCTTACCCCACAGCACATGCACACAATGCCCCCTGGATGCCACAAATCGTTTCTAGCAGCAAATGAGTCAGAAGGGAATGGACCCAAAGTCTAGACCCCACTCCACCCCCATCCTGCTGAGGTTGTGAGCTCCAGGGGAGCAGAGGCAGCTAAGGACACGGGCCATGGCTGGTCCCTGGCAACCTTGTAGCACCACCTGGTGACCCAGCAGTGAGCAGGGTGCTTGAAACACCACTGGGCAGGTATCACTCACACCTACACCGTGGAGCAGCCCATTCCAATGGCAAAGATTCCCGATTACACTATTAAATAAGAAAAGAATGTACTTTTTTTCTTTTACTACATAGAGATGTTAAGCTTCTATAAATCAAAAAACAGGGCCAGGCATGGTGGCTCATGCCTGTAATCCCAGCATGTTGGGAGGCCAAGGTGGGTGGATCACCTGAGGTCGAGAGTTCAAGACCAGGCTGGCCAACATGGTGAAACCCTATCTCTACTCAAAACACAAAAAATTAGCCGGGCGTGGTGGCATGTGCCTGTAGTCCCAGCTGCTTGGGAGGCTGAGAGAGGAGAATGGCTTGAACTCAGGAGGCAGAGGTTGCAGTGAGCCGAGACTGCGCCACTGCACTCCAGCCTGCACAACAGAGCGAGACTCCCATCACACACACACACAAAAAAAATCAAAAACCAGATAAATGTAATAGCAAACTGGGTGAATGTTTGCAGCAAAATTACAGAGAAAACATATCCTTCACAGAGGAAAAGCTCTTACTAATCAAGAAAACAACACCATAATGGAAAGAGAAATATAACTGTAGACATTCAACGTAGATGTCAACCTTGCCCATGACCAAGGAAACAAACACTGAAACCATCATGAGACTTTGTTTTTCAGTTTGCTACAGTTTGGAAAGGAAACGAGCTTGCCCCTGTGTGGCTGGTGGGCATGTGGGCATGTGGGCTGGCAACAGCTTTCTGAGCGGCTGCACCTCTAAGAACAAAAGCAGTTCCATCCTCTTCCAGGGAAGAGGAATGTTTCAGGAATCACTTAGAAACATAAACAGGAATTTGTGAAGGAGGCCACCCAATACAATGTTACCTGCAATGGCAAACTAAAAGCAATGTAGCTGCTTGATGGGAAGAAATGGTGAAACCCATGTCCCTACATTTGTACCTTCAAGGACCAGGCAGAAGGGTAAAGTGCACTTTTAAAGAATATTTGAACATTGAGAAATAAAAATACAATCCCAAGACCTCCAACTGACTAAATGAACCCCTTCTTGGCCAAGGGGACTCCAGAGAAACCTTAAACACTGGGTTCCAAGCCATGAAGGGATGAAATGCCAGACAGACCTCATTATGCCCCCTCCCTCACTAACCGCTGCCATTGAGTTTCTTTCCTAAGGGTAAACAGAAAGCCCTTTTGAAAGATTTGCCAGACTCCCCACCCCTCGTGTAGTTTTGACACAACAACCAGCCAGCATTCCTTCCTGATAACAGATCCTGACTGTGGACTGGTTCTAGCTGGTGTAGAGGCTGCACACAGGATGCCTCTGTGTCCTTCATTTCACCTTTTGACCTACAGAGCCTCATTTCAATGCACTTAAATGTGAAGTCTCCACCCCAAAGTGAACACAGGACACATGTAACACACATGTGAGCTCACTGTGCATGCGTGCCCCTCACCCTTGTAGAGTACTCACAGTGCCTCCTGTAGCCTCTCAGCCACCACGGTCAGCACATTCCTGTCTCATCCTCCCCACCCTCAAAGTGCCTGCTTCCGGTTTAGGGTGGAGGCCACACCTCCCAGCCTGTGGATGGTTACTTGCAGGCTGCAACTCTTTAGAGAAATAAAGCTCTCCCTTCCATGTTTATGAATCTCATGAATCTTCAGTTGACAACATATAAAGAAATGAGCATGAAATGATTTTCAGTAAAATAAGTAGGAAACAAAACTGCAGATAATTAGGTGATTATCTTGGGAGATGGGAATCTGTGGGGGGGGGAGGGAATTTTTATTTTTCTCTTCACATTTTTCCACATTTTTCTAATTTTTTTACAATGATCATACAGCACTTTCATAACAAAAAATAATAAACATTTTATTTCACAAAACTATAACCTGGAAAAAGTGATAAATGTCTATAAGTGAATATTCCATAGCGGTAAGAATGGATGAGGCATTTTTATCCACAAGGCAGATCTTCAGAACATGAGGCACTGCTACTGGTACTGGGCATGGCTTTGGCTGCTCTCCCAGTGGGGGTCTGAGGTGGCCCTGGGCCATCTGCCCTCACCTGGCTCTGGGGCAACAGGGGCAGGGGTGGGAGAGGCATCAGGTCTGGGAAAAGGCACAGTCCACGGGCTCCACTGGATCAAGGCAGTGCCCTCCACTCCATCGGGCCTGAGTGGAGATGGCCTCACTGGCTTAGCTCTGCCCAAGCAAATCCACCCTCGTGTTGCCTCCAAGGCATCCGCCAGGTCCTCACCTCACCCCCTGCCCCAATTACTTATGTTCTTCTTTTTATCAGAAAAACATTCGATGTGGCCATATTTTCAATAATAGCTTGAGTCAGTCTCACTTGGTTGTGATAACTCAGAAGACTGGTGATCAGAGAGAAAGAGGAAAAGGGGGACGGGGGAGAAGGGGAAGAGTGAGGGACGGGGGAGGGAGGGAAGAGGGAGGGAGGGAGAGAAGAGCAGGACGGTGGGAGGAGGTTTCTTGGCATGCTTCCTGCTGGTTCAGACCCAGTCCAAGTTTCCTGAACCCATGTTCTGGAATGTCTGGCGCTGCCACAAGATGAGGAGGAGACCCAGCCACAGGCGTGAGGACATGGGTGCATCCTCCTCATGGCCGACCCGAGTTCCCACCAGGCACAGGACTTCGTTAACAGAAGCAGCTTCTCAGGCAAATCACACAGCACCCCCAGCCCCTGCTGAAGTGCCTCCTCCTCTCCAGCTCACCCAAGGAGCCGGAGCTTTGGCTGCACTGGTGCTGGGGGCGGCTTCACCCCGTGAGGGTGCCACTCCATGGGCCACTGGGAGGTTGTTGTGCAGTCCTGGCCAGTTTACAGAACAGAGATCCAAACTTTCACCTAATATATAAGACAGGAACCATTTTCATTTGACCAGAGAGGGCCTCAGGGGGATCCTGGCCCTCAGCTCCCAGGAAGAGGTCCTCTCCCCGCAGCATCCATGGGAAGTGCCTTCAGTTGCTCCAGTTCTTCACCCCTCTCTGTATCTGCCCTATGTCTGCAGCTTGGCAGGGTGTTTGCTGCTTACATTTTGAGACTCTCGGAAACAAACTGTGCCTTCTAAACACACAGTGGAATCTGACACCAATGATGCAGTCCAGAATGCTTTCTTCCCCTGGTGACAAACTTTCCGAGTATCTTACATTAGTTTAGTGGGGCCTTCCAGCAGCTGTCCCAACTCAGAGACAGACCTGCAGGCCCATGGGCCAAGACAGAGCCCTTCCCCACCAACCTTGACCTTGGATGAAAAGCATCATCCCTGTTTGCTGGAAGTGTGTAGTAGGATGACGGATGTGTTGGCAGAGCCAGGCCCATGCTGTCCAGGGAGGCATCAATGCTTTGCGGTGTCCAGACAGTTTACAAGGCCCAAGAATGCTGCTCCCTTGGTGAGGCAACCACCTCGTGCTAAAAATCCCCTGACAAGTCACCAAGACTTGAAGGGAGGAGGCTCTCTGGAGCATGAGCCAACTCTCCCAGATGCTAACTTGGATGGCTGTGAACCCAGTCCTGCCTCAGCCATGGGCACCCCCTTCGTCGGAATCCAAGTACATTGCTGCCACCTGTGTCCATGGTTGCAGAGACTCAAGACACCACCCACAGGAGAGAGTTGCAGGAATGCCTGGCCTCACTACCCAGGGTGGGGAGCCGGATGTCCAAGGCAGGGAGGACTGGCTCTCACATTCTGCAGAAAAGACTATTTGTGTCCACCTGGGGCCATGTGTGGGGCGGTGGGGTCAGGGATGCCTCACTGCAATTCACTATTCTGGCAGTGGGGTGGGAAGAGCCTCTTTTAGTAACTCCCAAAACTGCCACTGAAGAGGGGATCCTGGACATATCCACCCTGACCCTCTGAGGTGAGAAAAGAAACTATAACACAAGGACTGCTGCAGTTGCTCTCTAAGCAATAGGCTTGGCCCAGCAGGCACTGTTTAGGCAGCCCAGCAGGCTCCCCTGTTGCCAGGAGAATCCCAGAGACCCACTGGGACCCTCCAGCACCCAGCTATACCAGCTCCACTCCACAGCTCACCCAAGATGGACATGAGGACTTCAGATCGTGATGTCCAGTTTTAACTAAACTAACTCCCCAAAAACTGGACACGTGACTTCACGAGGCTTTTGCCGAGGAGCCCTGGGCTGCAGGGAACATTAATGGGGTAGGTGCACCCAGGCAAGGATGTGGGCAGACCCTCCAGCCTCTTGTGGTCTGGGTGTGCCTTGGGAAATGGCCAGCAGGATTCTTCTTGGAGGCAAGCTGGAGATTTTTAGGTCCTGGGTTAGAGGGAGAACTATGCGATTCCTCTGAGAGACCTGGGGATGGAGGGACTGGACCCTTCCAGCCACCTGTGCTGAGCCCATCTGCTGCCTCCTAAGGGGCTCCTAAGGGGCAATGGGTGGAAGTCTCCTGGGCTATGCCCTGAGCAGACACCATCCTTTTTGCTCCTTGGCAAAGATGCCTCTCAGGATCAAAGACCTGGTGGCCTGGTCCCTCCAGGAGGAATGGGAGGGCCAGCTTCCTTCCCTGACAGCTATGGGAAGATGGAACCCAGTCCAGGCCTTGAGTGCAGTTCCCTGACCCTCATGGTAAGCGCCGTGCCTGGTCCCCTCATCTCTCTCAGGGAAGAAGTGATAAACACCATTGGGTTTCCGTGACTCAGGCACAGTGACTTATACATCCTTGTCACAACCTGGGCTGTAAATGCTGCCCCACACGTTCCCAGCATGAGTGAGCGCTGCCTTTCTTTAGGAGATGGAGGCACGGCCGCCTCCAGGGGTCCTGCTGCCTGTGGGCGCCCATCAGGATAGAACTCACAATCTGCCCACCACTGCCTGCCATGTGGTCCCTCAATATCCCCAGGCCTCCTCCCACCAAGTACCCTCAGGCTTCTGTGCCTGCTGCAATCTCATCGTACAGACATCCATGATGTGGTGAAGACTTGAAGAAAAAGATGTTAAATGAGGGGTTCCTTCCTCAAGGTAGAAAGCCCCTTTTGTGGGCTGAGAATTGAAGACTGAGGACTGGGTTCGTTCCCTGAGTCCACGTCCGCTGCTGCAAGGAAAATGTGCAGTACACCCCCAACCCAATCTGCCTGGCATCTACACCTGTGCACCGGGCAGGGGAAGGAGTGGGTCCTTGTTGCTGGGACCCCAGGGAGTCCCCAGCGGTGGATGAGGTGGGCCATGGAAAGGGACTCCCCCCACCACAAGAGCTGCACAACCTGTTGAAGGGGCCGAGGCCTCCATCTTAAAGATAAGCGGCTTTAGGCTGGGCTCAGTGGCTGACGCCTGTAATCCCAGCACTTTGGGAGGCTGAGGTGGGCGGATCACTTGAGGTCAGGAGTTCAAGACCAGCCTGGCCAACATGGTGAAACCCTGTCTCTACTAAAAATAGAAAAAAAATTAGACGGGCGTGGTGGTGGGTGCCTGTCATCCAAGCTACTCGGGAGGCTGAGGCAGGAGAATCGCTCAAACCCAGGAGGCAGAGGTTGCAGTGAGCTGAGATCATGTCACTGCACTCCAGCCTGGGTGAGAGACTGAGACTCTCTCAAAAATAAATAAATAAATAAACAAATAAAAGATTTATTTATTTAGCTTTGTGAGCCCAGGGCTGGGGACTGTCCTGGGCAGCTATGAGGTGGTAGACCCAGCTGGCCTGCTGTCCCTGGGAACTTGGGACTTGGGCAGGTAATAGCAGCATGTCTCAGCACTGCCCCAGGAGCTGGGGATCCTGGGTAGAGGAATGGACAGGGGAACCCTCCTTCCTTCTCGGGGCTGATTGGCACACACAAAGCGCCTTCCATATGCACGCAGCCCCATGGACGGGGCAGGAGGCAGGGCAGTCAGGGGCAGTGGCAGGTGTCCTGGCAGGAGGGAGGACGCATCCCTGGTGAGAACCATCAGGAGAGAGTCTGGCATTGCATGACCAGGCTGGAGAAGGGGAAGCCCGCGGGACCAGGCCACAGAGGGGCATCTTGTGGCCTACCAGATGGCGGAGACTTCCCTCAGGGAGTATTCCCTGCACACTCACTGACAACACCCACGAAGGCATGCAGATTCTTCCAGAAGCAGCTGAAAGCCACACATGGAAGACTGCAGTGCAGTGGAGAAGCAGTTCTCTGGGTTTCTCAGGGGCAGGCAAAGAGGTGTGTGAGCCCCCTGGGCTGTGGACAGCAGGACACCTAACGGCCCTCGAGCCTCTGCAGAAGCATCAGTCACCATGCCCAACGATCGCATCCCCTGTCCCCAGACAAGGCCTGCGTGGGAAACAGATGTCCACAGAAATCCCTGAGCCGAGGTCGCTTTGTGATCTTTTCTGATTTCCCAGTGAAATTTCACCACAAACCACACATTTGGAACATGGCTGCTGCAGCTCAGGCAGAAGCAGGCCTCAGTGGTCGGGTGCAGAAGCTGTGGGAGTTTCCGTGTCTCAGGCCAGTTCCGGCCTGGGGACCCAAGGCCGACCGCACGTTGAGTTGAGCGGAGGATGAACCTGAGCCCCTTCACCTGGAAGTGAGAGCAGCAACTCACTGCTGATTCACACTTTCATTTCCAGCCAGGAGAGACTTTCCTCCAAGCCAGAGCTGATAAGATACAAAGACTAAGACTAAAACTCCCCAGGTTGGGATAAGATAAATATCACCAAATTACAGCAAGTGTTTAGGTGGAGAGGACCTCAGTGATCATAATTGATGCCCACACATGTTTCTTGGCATCTGGGCTTCCTTCACTGCTCACTCAGATTCCTGGGTTATTTTAAAAATCACGGCCAGGCGTGGTGGCTCACGCCCGTAATCCCAGCACTTTGGGAGGCTGAGCACTTTGGCAGGCCGAGACGGGGGTGGGGGGAGGAATCACTGGAGGTCAGGAGTTCGAGACCAGCCTGGGCAACATGGCAAAACCCCATCTCTACTAAAAACAAAAATTAACCAGGCGTGGTGGTATGCATCTCTAATCCCAGCTACTCGGGAGGCTGAGGCAGGAGAATCACTTGAACCCGGGAGGTGGAGGTTGCAGTGAGCTGAGAT
Organism: Homo sapiens; assembly: GCF_000001405.40. Classification (NCBI taxonomy): domain Eukaryota; kingdom Metazoa; phylum Chordata; class Mammalia; order Primates; family Hominidae; genus Homo; species Homo sapiens. The sequence goes on from NT_187548.1 coordinate 21,351, forward strand.
CACGCCACTGCACTCCAGCCTGAGCAACACAGTGAGACTCCGTCTCCAAAAAAAAAAAAAAAAAAAAAAAAAAATCACGCATACGGGACTCCTGGAAGGCAGCTTCTCACCGTCACTGCCGTCTGCCCTGCTACATGTGACGGCTGTGTTTCACATGTTCACCGGTGTGTACGCCCGGGTGTGCTTCGAACTGAGAAGCCAGGAGCCCAGGGCTTCTCTGCTGCCCACGAATCATGCCTTCTACTTGCCCTCGCTGCCCAGCTTGCAAGGCCCTTTTACTGAACTTACTTTGATTGCAATAAAAACCAGTAAAACCCAAAAAACAAGTGCATACAAAAGTATGCCCAGAACACCTTTGGAAAACCATTTTCTGACTTGGGTGGGTTTTTTCCTTCTAGGTCTCTAATCACAAATTGCCTGAAAGATTTGCACAAATATTTACCTGAAACTGGAAGAGGTGTTTCCTCAACCATGAATCGTGGCCAGTTGTGGGTCCCTTTGAGGCAATTTCCCTGGAGAAGTGCATGGTTATTAAATTTAATAGTCGGTGCAGATGATTCATCTTTTGAAGGCGCTCAGAATGATGGCTGAGGATAAATGTAGAATTAGCCTTCTAAGTATCCAGTGGTCTGGCAACGTTCCAAGTATGCCAGGAAACAGGTAGGCGTGCTTCAGATCCACCTCCCTTTCAATAGTTTTAACAGTCCATGTACCAGAGGTGATATCACAACCAACCTGTAATTCAGAATAAGCCTCGTGTGGCAACATGGTTGGGGGGGGTGCGGGGAGCAGGCGAAATGCAAGGCACTTGGGTGTGGCAGCCACGTGAACTTCTTGTTCATGCCTAAGAAGGCATGTTCATGCCAAAGCGTGTGTCTGCAGGGAAACCCGGTGCACTTGGGAGGCACAGCCAAGGCTTCAGGGGTCAGCATGGCTGGCGGACGCTGCACAGCCAAGGAGAGGTGGACTCAAACAAGGGCGGCCTCGGGGGCGGTGTGCAGGCGACACCCAGGGGATCTTGTGCACTTAAAAACGTAGGGATCCATTTGCAAAGCGAAGAGCACGCAAGGGGAGCACACATCCAGACCCGGAGTCGCCATCCTCCCTCGTGGGGCCAATCCGCCAGGGCCAACGCGGCATGGGCAGGGAGGGGAAATGTCCCGGCAGGCTCCGTGTGACGCGTCACAGTAGCGTTTTGTCCGATGTCAGGCAGTGCTTTTCTTAGACGTCCCCAGGGCTCCGGTGGAGACCAACCCGTGTGTGAATTTCAGTCTTGCCGGCTACTTCGGGTCGCGAGGCTCACGGCTTTGCTCGCACTATGGGGAAAAAGCCGGGCACTGAAGGGGACGTGGGTGTGTGTGTGTGTGTGTGTGTGTGTGTGTGTGTGTGTGTGCCGGCTCCGCGCATGCGCCTATTTCAACTCCAGCCACAGCCTGGGGCCAAGACAGTGTCTTCAAAAGAGGCCCCTGACCCCGGGGTCAGAGTTGGCTACACCATGCCTTCCAGGCACGCCACACCGTGAGGTCACACCGCGGACGCCCCTCACACAGGGGACGCCCCTCACACAGCGGATGCCCCTCATGCCACGGAGGCCTCCGCACACAGGGACGCCCCTCACTCCGCGGACGCCTCTCACACAGGGACGCCCCTCACACAGGGACGCCCCTCACGCCGCGGACACCCCCTCACACAGCGGACATGCCTCGACGCCCCTTCACATGGCGGACGCCCCCTCACACGGCGGACCCCGACCTCGCCGCTTTCTAAACGGGAGGGGAGGAGCCGTGGCCACCGTGACAACCACAAAACAGGATGAGCCCCGCCTCCCAGAACGCGGAGTCGCGGTGGAAGAGGGTGACGCCGCCGAGAGTTCACGAGCGTGTCCCAAGCCGAGTGAGGAGCGCGCGGGGGCGCTCTTGCTCCCAAGGCCGCACGAGCGCCAAGGCCTCGCGGGGAGAATAGCCACGGGGGGAGACGGGGCCCGCGCTGCCCCCACGAACGCTGTTGGTGGGGACCCCACGGCTGCGCCCGCTGAGGTGGAGGGGCCGGGAGGACAGAGCCCCGCGCCCGCCGCCGCCCGCTTCTGACCCTGCCGGTCCCGGGCTGGGGCAGAGAAGGGCGGGCGCGGGCGGCCGTGCCGGGAGCGGAGGCGGACGCCGGCCGGGTCTCCCCGGGTCTCCCCGCTGGGCGTCCTGCGGCCGCACCTCCTCCTCCATCCGGAGACCAGGCCCCTGCCCCGCCCGCGGCTGAGGAGATAAGGAGAGGCTGATTTGAAAAGCTGCGAGGACGCGCATTTTAACCTCCAGGGACGGCTTGAGCCCCGCCCTGCCTTTCGAAAGTGCTGGGAACGGATTTTATCAGCAGGCGAAACTGTCCTCAAAGCTCCGTGGCCCAGCAAAAGGCAGGGCGGGGACGCCCATGGCCCCCGGGCCGGCCCCCTACGGGCTCAGCCTCCGAGTCCCCGGACTGGACGGCGCGGGCGTCGGGGGTCCAGGCTGCTCCGGCCGCCCCGCTGTGAGCCCGAGCTGCGCTGCAGCCGCTGGTCACGTATGGGGGTCCCCCGCGTCCTTTCCTCCAGGCCGGCAGTGGGCTGGGGCCGCAAGTGTCCCCGCGTACACTGGCCGTCCCCCAGGGACAAGGACAGTTGCCCTGAAAAGCTGCGGCTCCCGCCAGAAGGTCCCAGCTCGGGCTGCCCCGGGCAGACGCAGAGCGAAAGGCGAGGCAGGACGGGCCTGAGGAACCTGGAAGTCCCTGCAGGGCCCCTGGAAGAGGCAGGCAGGGGGCTGCCCCACAGACGGGCCCAGGAGAGGACACGCCGGGCTGGCATCACGTGAGGAGAGCGTCCAGCAAACCACACTGGTCCCGAGGCCTCCACGAAAAGTAGATGGGCATCTCGCGGCAGCCACCACTGAGGCAGCACCGGGAAAGCATGGTGGGTGCCCACTGGCCCCGCAGAGGGCAAAGGCATGCACACGCCAGAAGGGAACGTCAAGGGGAGCAAAGAGAACCCCTTCCTCCTGGAATGGCTGAGGGGACCAGGCCGCTCTGTGATGCAGACATCTCAAGGGGCTCTCCCTTGCACTACCCCATGTGGACTTTAACTCCCAATTTGGAAAGTAATGATGTCATCTTCTGTGGTCTCAGGGTCCTAGTGAGTGTGTGAGGATAATAGTGTTACATGTTATGCAAAGGGATTGTGAACTGGCATGGGGGTCAGGTTTGCAGGGCCTGGAGCTGGTGACTCCAGCTCTAGAACAACCCCAGGCCGGCTCTGCCCTACCCAGGAGAGATGGTCATAGGGGAAAGAGTCCAGTGGGCATTGGAGGCGTAGGGGCCACTTAGGGTTGCCCTTTGAGCTGACAGTGGGGTACAGATTCAGCTCTGCAGTGCCCCTAACCCCCACTGCGGATCCACCCGGGGGAATGCCCTGAGGACACGCGAGGTGAGGGTCAGGCGTGTCCTGCTGGGTGGGAACTCCGGACCCTCTGGGAAGGAATGGGTGAATCGGCTGCTCTCACTCTCCAGCTCCCACTCAGAGGAGCCCTGGGGGATCCCATTCCTCTACCTCAGAGGACTCCCAGGACACTGTCTGAGCCCAGTGGGAGGAGGACACACAGCCCTGATCTGCCAGTCAGTGGGGCTGAGGGTCAAGCTGTGCGCCTTGTGTGCTGGCGGCGTCCCGCCTGGGATGGATGGAGATGGTCTGTACTTTCATGGGTGAATTGTAGGGCCCCTGAATTGTATGTATCTCAATAAAGCTGCTAAAGAATAAATGTAAAACCTTTGCCTAGTAACTCAGGTTCACTGGAGTGCATGGGGAGTTTCTGCTGTTTGGACTCTGCATGTGCCTAGTTCCAAGTGACAAGGTGGGTGCGAGGGCACGGCAGCCAGTGCAGGCCCAGCCTCATGGGCTCCTCCAGCTTGGGCACCCTGTAGGGTGTGGGGTTGGTGCCATGGCCCGCCCCCACCCCCCACCTCCACCTGTCCTCCCAGGACACTTCCTCCCCCAGACCTCCTGACATCTGCATTTAGCAAGGACCAGAGCTCAGTCAGCAGAGGAGTGAAACACAATGGCCCTTCCCCACCTGGCTGGGGCACCTCAGCCAACCTCCCCCAGTGGGACCTTCTCGGGGTCTTGGGAGGAGGGCCCATGCATGTGTGAGGCAAGGCTCCCAGCCACACAGGGGACACGAGCCCACCAGCAGATCTTCACCCAGGGTGGCTCATCGGTCCTCATGTAAGGGCAGGATTTAGAGGCACGGGAAGGGCTGCAATCCTCAGGCTGTGCTACTTTGCATAACATGTAACACTATCATCCTCACACACTCACTAGGACCCTGAGACCACAGAAGATGGCATTGTTACCTTCCAAATTGGGAGTTAAAGTCCACTTGGGGTAGCGCAAGGGAGAGAGGAGGGGCCGAAAGAGCCTGGGAGGGTGGCCCTGGCCCTGAATCTGGACGCCTGGACGCTATACACAAGGGCGCTCTGAGCCCATCGCAGGCACGGCCTGGCCGGGTGCAACCCTGCTACCAGGTGCCAGAGCTGTCTGCCTGCAGGAAGTGGCCCCTCCACTAGGGTTCTTCAGAGGATGGTGGGAATGGCTCGCAGGCAAGACTACTCCCAGGAGGGTCCGTGTGCCCTTGTTCATGTGCTCGCCCACAGCTCATGTATCTGCGGACAGCCAGCAGGGGAGGCTGCTGGGGTGGGGGGCGGGCCTCTGGTTTAACTTTCCGTTTTGCCACTGAGCAGCCTAGGCCTCTGTAAAATCGTGTGATGGCGGCATCTGCCCCGAGGATGGTCTGAGAATGGGAGGCAGTAATTGGAGTGAAAGGGCTTGGCTGGACGTCAGCTCCAGAGGTGCAAGTCAGCACTGGGCAGCCGCGGAGCTGCGCTGCTCAGCTGTGAGACAGGGCTCCAGCCAGGGGAGTGGGAACAGAGAGACCGGGTGGGACCTGGGCCAGCTTAGCGGAGGCCTGGCAGGGCCGGAGCTGGGCAGGTGAGGGGTCCCGCACCGCCAGCCTCGGAGCTCCAACTCCAGGGACGGGAGCTGCCCTGGCAGAAGGTGGGGTCACCCACTGAGGTTGGAGACGTGGGCGTGGCAACAGCCCGTGGGGAAAATGCTGAGCTAGCTCTTGAAAGGCTGGGGAGATACAATGTATCAATGCAACAGGGCGTGGCAGGGAGGAGAGTCATGGGTAGGGAAGGGAGAAATGTCCCAGAAACAGGAGCAAGTTAGGGTTCCAGGAGGAAGTGAGGGAAGAAGGTTCCTCTGAAGGTAAATAAGGAAGAGAGCCCTGAGGTACCCAGCAGGGTAGGAGGCAGAGAGGGGGTCCAGTGAAGGGTACTGAGGGACGGGTCTCCAGAGCCAGCTGGAGGAGCTTGAGATGAGGCCAGGGAGGTAGCAGCTGAAGCCACTGAGTTGGACACGTGGAGGAGGCAGCGCAGGTGGCCAGGCTTGGGGCTCCTGGGAGGCTCCAACACCCTCAAGGCACAGGTCGGAGGAGACCCTGCTCAAACCAAGGACAAAGTGAGGGGGTGCAGGGCCCTTCCAGCCGGGGCCGGGGGGGGCCAACGCTGGTTCTTCATCAATTTGGAGCGCCAGGAGAGGGCGGGGATCTAGTCCTGCCGGATACCACCCCCCTTTGGGCTGCCCACACCCCCACCCCCTCTCCAGCAGCCAAGGGAGGCGGGTCCTCCCTTTCAAAGGGAGGTGCCCTCAGGCTCCTCTGGAATTGGGGATCCCTTGACCCAGGACGGCCTGGTGAGGGGTCGGAGCTGACTCCCGCCAGGCTCCGCTGCAGCACCTGACCGCCCCCACAGGTGGCCGGGCCGGGTCCTCATCGCTGGTGGGGCTCCAGGCTGGGAACGGGGGTCGAGGCCGATGCGCTGCGGGCAGCGGCCGCCGGGGGCGCTGCGGGGGCCGCGGTTAAAGCCCCGGCGCGGGCGCACGCGCTCAGAGGGAGCCGGGCCGCCGTCGCTGCCGCCGCTGTCCCCGCGCCCTGCGCCCGGTGGCCCCCCACCTCCGCCCCGCGGCCGTACCTGGCGCCCCCTGGCTCCCCCGGCCCCCGCGCGGCGTGGAGCCATCTTCCCTCACCTCCTACCGGCACCCTAGCTTGCTCCCGGCCCATGCGGCCCCCGCGGGCTCCCGGCCCCGGCTTCAGAACTCAGCCCTGCACCTGAGCGCGGGGCCCGGCGGGGCGTGGCGGCGGCGATGGGGAAACTGCAGTCGAAGCACGGTGAGCCGCGGGCCGGTAGGGCGGGAGGGCGGGCGGGCGGGCGTGGGGCCGCCTCTCACTGTCGTTTTCCTCTCCCCGCGTCCCGCCGTGCCGCAGCCGCCGCCGCCCGCAAGCGGAGAGAGAGCCCGGAAGGTGAGCGGGCGAGCCGACGGGCGGGGCGGGGGGCGGCGACCCGGCCCGGGACCCTCAGAGCTAGGAGCCCGCGCGCGTCCTGCCCTGGAGCCAGCAGTGGGGGGACGGGGCCGCGGGTCTCCAGGAGCGCGCGGGACCCCCACGCCTGCCCCTGCGCGGTCTCCAGGCGATGGGGACACAGCGAAGGCGCAGCGCCCGCGGGGCTCACGGCGCGTCTCTTTCCCTCCTCGGTGCGGGTTTCCCGCGCGTCCGCCCCCGGACCGCAGGGGACAGCTTCGTGGCGTCCGCGTACGCGAGCGGCCGCAAAGGCGCGGAGGAAGCGGAGCGGCGCGCGCGGGACAAGCAGGTAGGCGGCGGGGCGGAGGCTGGGGTCGCGCTGCGCACCCGCCCGGGGGCGGGGAGCGGTGTCAGAGCTGTTCCTGGTGCCCGCCCGCGGACAGGCGAGACGTGGGCCGCCATGGCCGCACGAGTGACCGGGGGCCAGGAGAGCCAGTCTCTCCCCAGCCTCCACGACGTCTGGGGCTCCCGTGGGGCGAGCCCTTGCTAGTGTCCCATGCTGAGTGGCGGGTAGGGGAATCGGAATTCCTTGTCCTAGGCTGGGAGCCGTGTGGGGGCTCCATGTTTCGGGCTGGAGGAGCTGGGCGAGTGGGAGGGGCTGGACCTAGACGTCCCGGGCTGGGGGTCCCGGGGAGCGGGAATGCAGTACCCCGGCTGGATGAGCTGGAGGAGTTGGAGGAGGGGTGGGAGCTACAGACCTGGGGCATCACTGGTCATAGCCTCAGTGCTCAATCAGCAAACATGGCCAGAGTCAGAGGCCTCGGTGCCTCCCATCTCTGGGAGGGGTGACCACAGGCCTGCTAGAGGCTCAGGAGACAGAGGGACATCTGCACAGCTGTGGCAAGGCTGCAGAGACTGCAAGGCTGGCTCAAGAGCCAGGCGGCCCTGAGGGTGGGTGAGGAAGGTGCTATGTCCAGGAGCAGAGAACTGTCCAGGTCTGGGGCCCTGGAAGGGCCTGGGGTAAATTAGACCTGCATGTTTGCTGAGCGTGAGAAAGCTAACATTTGATGGTCATCAGTGTCAGTGTGAACTGTATCGGTGCAGACAGCCCCACCAGGTGGCCAGGCCCACACTTGCCCCTTGCTTCCTCCCCCACTGTCCCCAGAGGTCCCCAGACACAGAACATGCCGGGTCACGCAATCAGTTTCCTTTTTGGAAAGACATTGTTCTGGCAGTTGATTAAAAAAAGTTCTGGGTGTGTTTGGAGACATTTTCTGCAGCTCTGTCTTGAGAAGGGGCTTAGGTCTGCTTGGAAATTAACATGCAATAGAGTTAGGATTGGTGCTTCCTGAGAGTGACCATCTAACGCCTGTGATGGTGGGAAGCACGCTGTAAGGTACAGTAAGTTGGGTGGTCCTGTGAGCCTCTATCCGGGACAGGGAGACCAGGGTGAGGTCATCCAGGGAGCTGTCCCCGCCCCAATCTGGCTCTCTCTGCCAGTTACATTTGCACAGGGGCTTGCTGGTGAGTGGATGGTGCCACTTAGCAGCCAGGTGCTCCTGGTATGATTAGTCAGTGATGTGAGCACCTGGGGTGGGCGGGCGTTCACCTCTCTCGTGGTCAGGGCTTTGGCCGGCCCCTGTCCATTGGCCCACTGGCCTGGAGCCTTCTCCCTGGGAGGCGCTGCACCATGAACCTTAAAATCCCTGAGCCAGCGCCCTCACCATGAAGTGCAGCTCCCAGGGCCATGGGGCAAGGCCAGTGCGCTCTGGAAAATGCAGGTGCTCCTCATGTGACTACGATGTCAGCGTGAGGGCTGCTCGTGGGCGTTTAGACCTGCCACTCTACACTGGGACATTTTCTTTAGAGAATAGCTTGGGAATTGGGGCTTGCTTGGATTGTTACCTTCTAATTTTGCCATCATTTCATGAAAGAAAACTCCTTTCTAAGTTAAAATGAACAAACTCAGAATCAAAGGCTGTCCTGTGAATTAAATACATTTCAGCTTTCAGACAAAAGTGCTGCCTTTCTGTATTTTCCGCCTCTGGCCATGACTCCTCCCACCTGGCATGGAGACCCCAGGGCCCAGGTGCGCCCTCACCTGGCCAAGTGCCCTCCCTGCCACATTGCTGTTCCTCTCACCTGGCAGCTGTTCCCCCTGCGACAGATCCTACTGACGTCCAGGAGAGTCGCAGGCCACCACAGCGAAGTGTCCCTCTGGCTCTCACCTTCTTCTTTTGTGTTGTCCAGAGCCTCGCCCATCGTCCTTGTCCTCCCAGGTGGTATCCACTGAGGAGGGCCAGTCCTGGGTCACCCAGGGCACCCCTTGTGATGCCTGGCTGGGGCCAGCGAGGGGACTCACTCCTTCCCTTCTCCAAAGTCCACCTCCTGGTTCCGTGCGAGGCATCCTGGGTGCCACAGAACGGTGGCAGAGAACCCTGTGGAGATTGGGCGCACTAAGAGCCAAGACCTCCGACCTACCCTCTCTCCCCAGCCCCCAAAATAACACAAATGAGATTGGCTATTATTAATTCCCTGTGAGCAATGCTGGCTCCTGCCTCTGTACGTGTCTGAAAACACCAACAGCAGCACTTTCCCAGACAGGTGTGTCTCTGCACCCCCGACGTGGCTCTCCCTGGCGACTCTGCGGAGCGCCACACTTTGCTTTTGGCGGGACCCGCACGGCTTCATCACCGAGTGTCCCTGAAGGGCTAGGGCCATGGGATCACTGGTGACGGTGCCGTGAAGGTCTGGAGAGTGGATTGTGAGGGATCCGGAGTCCCTGGGGATGTGCGTGGGTGAGGAGTGGTGCCATGGTGGCAGTGCACTTGTGTGGCTGTTTTTCCAAGTGGTAGTGACTGCAGGGAGGATGGCTTCAGGCCTGGGAACAGGCTGCCCCTGCACACTCACCCTCACCATCTGGTCTGCGAGACTAGCTTTAATTTCTACAGCGCTCCCTGAGGCTGGCGGAAAATGGTTCTGAAGACAAGAGTCACTGTTAACTGGAATGTTGTTGTGAATGGAGCACAGGCTTCCATGAAGTAGTGCTGAGGAAGGGTGCGCTGGGGCTAACTCCAGAGGCAGCATTGTAGCGAACACTCGTGACAGACCAGCCAGTGCGTGGAGGAGGCCGTGGCCCTGGCCTGCACGGGGGGCTCTTGCCCACATCTGCAGGAGGCAGCAGGCACGGCTCTGAGTGGCCCGTCTAGGGCAGGTCCCAGCTTACAGGAGGCACTCGCCAGTCCCATCCCCATGCCACGGCCCTTCTGAGTGTGCCAACATGGTACATGTTTCCTGGAAGGGAGCCAGGAGGACCACAGTCGTAAGACCTGCTGGCTCTGTCCAGGGCTGAGCTCCAGGCCAGGGCCCAGGCCTTCACCTGCACTGGCCTCTGGCTTCCAGCAGCAAACTCCATCTGCCCTCAGCATGGCCTTGCTCACGGGAACTGGGCTCAGCCCCACTACATGGCTTGACGCCTTCCGACTGGAACCAGCCACAGTGCCCCAGAGGCTCATATGCCTGCAGCTGGCCTTCCCCCAGAGGCAGGGGTGGGGCTGCCCCTTCCCTGCCCCTTCCCTGCCCCTCCTGGCCACCCAGGAGCCAGCGCTCACCTGTCCTCTGTGGGTCCAGAGAGCTGGATGTGGCAGTGGGATGCCCAGTTCTTGGTCAGTGGGAGCAGTTTCTTGTAGAAGATCCTGGAAAATTCTTCATGGCTTCAAGCACAGTCTGGACGCTACCGCATCAACACAGAGATGCAGGGTGGGGGCAAGATACACATTTGCAGGAGAGACTCGGGCCAGTGCACGTGCGCCCAGAGACAAGGCAGTGTGGACCATACTCTGCTTGGTGCTCGGCCACGTGCCACACAGAAGGAGAGGTTGTGGGTGCCCAGTCCACCCAGCTCTGCATTTGGGGGTGCAAGCCACTCCAAGATGTCCAGGAGAATGGCAGCTTCCAAAGGGAGCAGGGGTGCCTGGGGATGCCTCCAGCACAGACTCTGAGGGCCAACCTTCTGTCTTCTGTGACTCATGTTCCGGGACCCTGTGTCCTCATGGAGCTGAGGCCCATGTGGGGCTTTGTGTCAGAGCCGGCGGCAGCTGCAGTGTGTCATGGCTGCCCTTTGCTTTCTTTTTGGTGCCCTCTGTGTGCCTGGCCCTTGGATACAGGCAGCCGTGTTCCTACCCTGGGATGTGGCCCAGCCATGTGGCGAGGCCAGCACAGACATGCACAGAGGCTCAGGCACAGAGGGAACCGAAGGGAGTTGCCAGGCCACCTGGTCATCCCCCCTTGTGGGAGGCGTCGAGGTCACCTCTGGGCATGACACCTGATGCCCAGCACCTGAGAGCCATAGGACGGGTTGGATACCATGTATGTAGTTTCTGTGCCAGCCTGGGCCTTGGGCCCACTGAGGGCTGTGTGTGCGCCCAAGCTCTCCACCAAGCCGCAGGCATCCCCTGTCCTGCAGCAGGGGCTCTGGGGTGCTGACTGGGAGAGCGTGCTGACTGGGAGAGGCTGCTGCCGGTGCCTGGCCATGAGGTTGGGCCAGTGGATCTGTGTTGCCCATGGTGGAGGCCGGAGGCTGGCCAGTGGCGTGGTCCTGCCCGCTCGGGTCACTGTACCTGGACAGTGCAGATGTGCATTCTCAGTGTCGGCCCCTGTGTCTGTGAAGTGCATCCTGAGAAGCCCTGCACATGGACCAGGCAGGTGTCTGGATGGAGGCCCTGGAGCACAGAGCGTCCCTGCCACAGGGCCTTGGGCTAGAGTTGGGGGTTTCACAGACGAGGCCATCTGGGGCAGCTGTCACCCCTGGACTTCCAAAACAGCTTCCTGAAGCTAAAACTGCCCATTTTGCTGCTGAATGAGCTGAAGTTTTAGATTTCTGCAGGTGAAAGAAGACAGGTGGCTGCACCCTGTTCTCCTCAGTGGGCTGAACCACCATGGGAAGCCTGGTGCTGCTCCGTCCTCCTTCCTTCCTACTTGTGGCTGAGTAATTTGAATTCCTTTGAGGTTTTCATCTTGTTTTGGCTAAAGAGCTTACATCTTTCCTTTTCTTAAAAAACCCAGGCTGGTTTGCAATCCTCGGAAACCAATCATCAGCCCTGCAGCTTTGGGCCGCCGTATGCCTGCATTAGGGTGTTGGGGGTCCATCAGACGCACACGCGACTCCTGGGAGCCGCGGGAACTGTGGCTGGTGCCGGCCAAGGCAGTTGTGCCAGAAAGGGCAGGGCCGTCTCGAGTACCCATCCACGAGTGCCCTTCGGTGCCCTGGGCCCCTGCTGTGCATGCCTCCCGTGTGAGCAGCAAGGTGATGGTGAGATTGGAAATGCAGTTTCATCTGCCTTGTAGGAGTGGCTGGCTCTCCTTTGCCCCTGGGTGGGCACCGCTTGTTCAGAGCTGGCAGTAAGTCCATGGCCACCCCAGGTCCAGGCCCCGACTGGGGGAAACACACACCTTGCCACTGTCCTGTCTAGGCTAGGGTTGGGGGTTCGGCTCTTTCTATTTCTCAGGAAGCCAGGAGTCTGGGCCAAGGGCTCCTGTCCTCCACCCCCGCTTTGCGGCCAAGGGATACCCACTTGGTCAGCCCCGACAGAGGCTGTGAATGAAGTCCTAGTCAAAGACCATAGTTGGGAGCCACCATATGGCCGTGTTACGTGTGGCCCCCTCGCCAGCACCAGGTTTCTGTCATCCCATCGTTAGCAGAGGCGGCTTGCATGGTGGCTTGACAGCCTCTGGACCCGGCTTCGGACCCGGTGCTGCCACTCACAGCCTGGCCACATCCCTCGTGCCTGGGCCACCTGCTTCCCCTTGTGGTCCTGTGAGGAAAGACAAAAGGGACAGCTCCACGCTCCATAAGGCCAGGCAGCGAGGGCCACCTGGAGAGCAGCCAGGTGTGGCCGGGCCCCTTCCTGGCCTTTTGCCCCAAGTGCCGGGGTGCTGCAAGCCAGAGGGGTGCGTGAGTCCGTGAGCTTGTGCCAAGATGCTGTGGGCCTGATTCGTACTGCACAGTCATCTGAGCTGTCAGCAAGCTCTCACTGGTTGGCAGTGCCCACAGCCTCCCTGGCGTGGCCAGGTGTGGTGGGAGCAGAGGCCAGTGGGTGGGAGTGGGGTCCACCGTCCTTCCTGTAGAGAGGAAGCCTCTGGCCTCCTGGCTGCTGTTCTTGAGTTGGCAAAGCCACACTTTACGGAAGCGGTAGTTCTTGAAGCCAGACACACCTGAATTTGGAGTTGCCCAGCCTACCCCAGAATTTGTAGACAGCTACCTGCCAGATCACTGGGTCCCTGGAGCTCTGAAGGCTGAGCCCTATGTCCTTCCTGCAGGGCTCTCAGACAGATGCCTGCATCAGAAACTCCCTGGGTTATGACGAAAGGCCTATGACACCCCTAGGGAGTTGGGGAAGCCTCAGGAGCATCAGGAAGCAGGAGGAAGCAGGAGCCACTGCTGGGGTGAGGTCAGCATTTAGAGGCGGTCCTGCCCGCACATGCTGCCGCCAGCATTTCAGGGTGGGCTGCTCCCAGCAGGACTGCAGATCGGCCTGTCCATGTGTGGAACCCGAGGGGGCCTGTGCTGCGTCCTGGGGCATTCATGCTGGAGGGTTCCTGTGGCTCCGTCCTCTCACAGGTCTTACCAGCCGTGGCCCCTCTCCTGTTGGACTTGCCTTCCTGAACATGGGGAGGGGTCCCGAGCCCAGGACCCCTAATCAGTTCCAAGGGCTCCAGAGCTTTCAGTCTCTGCCACCTTCTGAGCCGTCGTCTGTCACAGATCATGACCGTCAGCTGTCCCTGGAGGTGCGGAAGGAGCCCTTCCTGTGGGGCTGCTGGGTTAACGCCGGAACCATGGGGAGCAGAAGGCGCGGTGTGTGAGAGGGGTCTGCCCAGGTAGCAGGATCCCCCCCCACACCGGACACTTCCCCAGCGTGGGGCGGAGCTCGTGGTGCTGGCCTGGAGGGACACACGGTGCTGACCTGGCTGCCGCCTCTGGACTGCGAAGCCTGGACCTGCTGGGACAGGAGCCTTGCAGAGACCCCGATCCGCTCTCACGGCGAGCTGCACCCATGCTGGCTGATGGGAGCTTTAATCTGCTTTCATGTTGGCAAATACTTGGCAGGGCACCCTTTGGCAGCCTTTCACGCTGGCGTGAAACAAATTGGGTCTGTTCGATCCTGTCCTGCGCAGAGCTGGAATTCACTGGTGGTGATGGCCAGCCCTTGGCAGCTGGAGGGGGAGGGTTTGTTTTCCTTTTGTTCTGCAGAATTTTCCAAGGAAATCGTAAATAGTTTTGCGCACCAAAATCAGAGAAGCTAAAAAGCACGAAATATTGTAATACAAACATTCAAATTGGAGATTATTTTAATGGTAAGTGTCTTGGCGGATTTAGACTGAGAGCCTTGCCAGAGGCCGATGGAAACGGGGGTCCCTCCTTGCTGTCTCCAGTGAGGTTCTCCGTGAGGCACTCACGTCGGTAGCTGGCAGGACCCTCCAGGGCTCCCACCTGCCCTTAAGGCCGTGGTCCTGCGTGGATGTACTTCCAGGACGAGGCCTCTCACATCCGCTAAGGGGGACGTGACAAGAGCTACAGCAGCTGTTTTTGGATAACAGAGCCTACCCCATCCTCCTTTCCACAAAGGATAACAGAGCCGACCTCATCCTCGTTTCCCCAAAGGATAACAGAGCCGACCCCATCCTCCTTTCCACAAAGGATAACAGAGCTGACCTCACCCTCCTTCCCACAAAGGATAACAGAGCAGACCCCATCCTCCTTCCCACAAAGGATAACAGAGCCGACCCCATCCTCCTTCCCACAAAGGATAACAGAGCCAACCTCATCCTCGTCCTTCCCACAAAGGATAACAGAGCCGACCTCATCCTCGTTCCCACAAAGGATAGCAGAGCCGACCCTATCCTACTTCTCACCAGGACGTGCCTGGACATGGTGCAAAGCTGCTGCCCCTGGTGGCCTCCCTGCTGCCCCGGGGACGTGGGTAGCTTGGCTCTCTGTGGCTGGCGTCTGGGCCTCAGCGTCCTGGGGTCCTCAGAGGGACCCCATGTCCCTCTGCCCACCATCACCGCCTGCTCTCTTGGCTGCCCAGGTGCACCCAGCTCAACTGTCCCGAGGGCGTGCCAGGCCAGTGGCCAGGTCCGTGTGCCCTGCACCCTTCAGGGCAGCCACTCATGTCTGAGACCAGCCAGCCCCAGACAGAGCTGGAGCAGGGGCCATTTCAGTGGCCCTGATTTTGCTCCTGAGGGCTGTGGTGTAACACGAAAGAACGTTGCTGTAGGCTTCCAGCCGTGGGATTCCAGGGCTGTCTTTGCCTTGTGCTGCTGGACAGAGCAGGACCTGCACCTCTGTTTGTCACAGGCTTGTCCTGGGCACCGCCTCAAAAGGAGGAAACAAAAACAGAAGGGCTGAGTCCCGGAGCCAGGACCCCAAACCAGAAGTCCCTCCCAGAGCCCACAGCCCCCCACCACGGGGCCGCCCTGCAGCCCCAGGGCCTGAGCTGCTTTCTGGATGCTGGGAGAACCGGACAGTGGCTGCTGGAAGGCAGGCCTGGAGGGCTCTGGGTGCTGGGGTGCGGGTGAGGCCGGGCATGGGTGCAGGCCTGTGGTGCTGGGGTGTGAGAGATGCTGGGCTGGAGTGTGGGAGAGGCCAGGCAGGGGTACAGGGCCCGTGGTGCTGGGGTGTGAGAGAGGCCGAGCT
The DNA here is from genome assembly GCF_000001405.40 of Homo sapiens. Taxonomy (NCBI): domain Eukaryota; kingdom Metazoa; phylum Chordata; class Mammalia; order Primates; family Hominidae; genus Homo; species Homo sapiens. The sequence goes on from NT_187548.1 coordinate 36,414, forward strand.
GGGGTGCAGGGCCTGTGGTGCTGGGGTGTGGGACAGGCCAGGCAGGGGCGGGGGCTGCCACTTGATGTGGGTGTCAGGACAGTGTGTGGTGAGGAGGCATGGAGGAAGCGTGGCCCCCCAGAGGCTTCCAGGCTGGGCAGCCACTGCAAAGGCCCTGAGGCAGGAGTAGGCCTGGAGGACGGGACGGTAGCAGGCAGGGGCTGCGAGAGACACAGCGGAGGAAGAAGAATGGCGGCCCCCACCCATCTCCCTCTGCCAGAAGGAGCCACGGGCACAGCCTACAGATGTGCACTGGTCTCTGTGCTGTGGGAGGCCAGACCTGGTGTCTGTGAGGAGCACCACAGCTGCAGACCTGCCGGATGACCCTCGGGTGACACTTTGGGGTGGAAGACCCCACCCACCCTGCAAGCCATGTTCCTCGGGCTCCGAGCCCCATCCTCACATCTGTGGAGCAGGTGGGACCACTAGCAGGGGCTTCTGGCCCTTCCTCTCCTCCCATTGATTTGTTGAAAGCGATTTAGGTTTTCTGTAAAACAAAGCGGACATGGGCCTGGGGAAGGTGCTTGCGGGTATTTCATGAGCTTTTCTAGGCCTGAGACATGTTTTAGGTGGCAGCGGGCTCACGTGTGTTGGGGGGAGAGACTGGTCACAGTCAGGGCGACTCAGGGGCTTGTGCTCAGATGGTGACGCCCAGCCCCCTTGTCCCCAGGGTGACAGGGAGAGGTGGCAAGAACTGGCAGCTGCCCACAGGCTGAGCCGAGCCCAGCAGAAAGGCCCAAGGCCGGAGCACAGAGGTGGCCTGGATGCTTCTGGCCGGTGGTCAGGACCCTGCCAGGCCTTGCTTGGAGGCATCTTGTGTATGAGGGGAGCCCTGCCCATGCCAACCACCTAGCTGTGCCCAGGGGAAGCCGCCCCAGAGGCCCATTCTCGGGGTCTGTTTGCCTGTCGTGGGGAGAGAGTGTCACAAGCTGGGCCCACAGGGAGGAACATCCTTGGCCTCCGAAAGGGCAGAGAGCACCATCCCTGCTTTGGGGCATCTAGGGGAGCAGCAGGTGGGGACGTCACGCCTCTGTCCACAGCCCAGTCTGGGAGACTCAGAGCCCTGTTGGTGAGTCCTGGGTCAAAGGGCATAGCGACCAGGCCAGAGCGTCACCTTCCCGCTATCCCTGTGGCGGGGCTGTGATTGCCTCTAGCTCTAGTGACCGGGGCGGTGGTCCTGGCTGCCTGCACCTCCCCTGCCAATTATACCCACTATAGGCACCCCTGTGCCAGCTGCTCCTCTTTTGCGGTTGGAGTGACCCCAAGACGTGCTGTAAGGGTGTCTTTGTGTGCGGCTCAGAGCTCATCCCGAGAACCCTGCAGCCTCCAGGCCTTGGATCCGGTGCCCTTCCTGAGACGAGATTGTGTGTCCCGTAACAAAGATGCGCGTGGTCTTCTCTGAACAATTTTTACCTCTCACGCGGGGGTTCTCACCGCTCTCCCCTGAGAGTGGGCTGTGGCTTGTGTGGACGGCAGCCGCCAGGCATAGCCCCTGCCCCCTAGAGCCCTCTGCAGCCTCGGCCAATAGCAAAGCCGCAGGTGGCCACTGGGCCCTCCTTTCATCTCGTGGAGCCTCTCGCCAGCCACAGCAGGGCCCTCGTGGAGGTTCTGAGATTGTCGCGTGCAGGGCATGCGACGGGGGTGCTTTAGAGAAAGAAAAGGCCTTGATTACTTGTTTGAGTAGCTCAGTCCCCAGGGTCTGGAGCTGTAATCAAATATAAGCCCCTCAACCAGCATTTTCCGCTGTTTCTCTTTGGTAAGGACATCGACGTTGCATGTTCACATATGGTGTCTTCCAAATTAGAAAAAAGAAAACCCTGAAACGCGGCAGGGTTCTTTCCAGCTTTGGAATTAATCTTCCTTTGAAATAGGAAACATGAGGCTTTAATATGAATGAAAGAAAACAAAAACGTCCGGTGGGTTTTTCCCGGGGAAGAATTCAGATAGAAGAGAAGTGGATTCGGGTCTGCTTTCAATCCCAGTGGAATTCAGCCTCCTCTGAGTGGGGCGGTTGAGGGTGCAGCAGTTCGGAAGTTCAGGGCCCGAGTCGTGGTTTTATTTTGTGTGTTCTGCGCTCTGGATGGTAAGCTGAGGGTGGCAGCTGAATTTGGAAGGTTTTCCTTTTTCTGTGACATTGGGGATCGTTAGCTCTGAAGACAAAGACAGTAGCAGGCGTGACTGGGAGAAGAAAATTAGACCTGCAGATGAGTTGTGAAATGGTTGTCTAACATTCAGTGTCAGCACTTCAGGATGCTGAGAGTTGAAGGCAGGGAATAAAGTTTCGGCAGAGTTTATGATCACGCCTCTATTATCTGGGCAGGGGCGCACACACGTATATGTAGGTGTATGTATGATGTGTTCACATATGTGAGTACACACGTGTATACATACATGTATAGAGGTTACACACACATGTACGTAGGTCTGTATTTAATACCTGAGCTGAAGACATTTCATTTCAAGACACCTGCTCTCCACCCCCACCCCCTAGTCACCCTGCTCAGCCTCAGCCACACCTAGCTGACGATGGAGACTCTGGGAGGGCTGTGGGTTCCCATTCCTGAGCCAAGGTGTGGGCCCAGTGGCGCTCACAGCTTCCCCCTCCCATCCGCGTCGGTTAATGCGGGTAAAGTGCTCCCTGAGTCCCTCTCTCCAAGCGTGGGGAGAGGGAAGCTCGGCTGCCTGGTCAAAAAGCCAGGTCTTGCTGACCACGTGTTGCTTGTCTTTTTTTTTTTTTTTTTTTTTCTGCATGTGTTTTACGTTGGGGTTTATTTCATGGGCAGGGCAGCCCTGGGCCTGTCCCTGTAACTCATCTCTTCACTTCCACTTGTAAGGATGCCCCGTGGGTTGGGCTGGGTGCCCCTTTACCCCTTGGTGTGGTCAGTCGTCCCCTTAGGCTGAGCGTCCACCCTCGTGGCAGGGGTGGGCACTGCAGAGACCCTCCCTGGGCTTAGGGCGTTTACTGGGTGAGGGGGCGGATGCCAACACAAAAGCCCTGTAGTGAGGGAGTGAGGGGCGTGGGTAGTGTGGCACCTCCACGTTTTCCCATTTAAACAATCCAGATGATGAAAAGCTGCTGTGAGGCAGGATGAAGAGGGAGACAGAAACATTTCTATTTTCTGGTCTTATAGGAAGTTAAGTCGCAGCAGAACTCTGGCTTGTGAGGACATCTGAGTATTTTAGGAGACCTTTTGACCCCAAAGTTACTGCTTTTCTAGGTATAAATTTCACATGTGGTTATTAAAAGATCTCTCAAACCCAGAAGAACCGATGGGCAAAATCTGCAAATGCCTCTCAGATATGGAGGCTCCGTCTGAATGTATCTAGGGCTTATGTGGGAAGCCCGGCTCCCCTGCCCGGTCCCCCCGGCCCCCCACCTCCCAGCCCCTTTGCTCCTCCCGCTGACCCGGCCCCCCGCCCCTCCACCCACCCACCCACCCACCCACCCGTCCCAACCCCTGCCCCCGACCCAGCCCCCCCCAGCCCCTCCCCACAGGGCCTCAGTCTCATAGTACTTAAATCTTTCACTTTAGAACCAGAAGTTCAGAATAGCAAGCACAGCCTGGAAGGAACTGGCGCACAGTGTTGCTGTAGCCTTTCTGGGCCCCAGCTGCACATGTGTCGGAATTATTAAGCCCGTAAAACTACATTGTCACATCTGAAACTGTTTAGCCATTGAAACCGAGACTTTGACTTCAAAGCCGGCTGCGGGGTTTCCAGACAGGCGCGCTGGCGGATCACCTTGAAGTCAAATTCCATCCTATGGCGGCCGGCAGAAGTGGGCCCCCGGCACCTCCTTGTAAGAAAACACTCTCTTCCGCAGACGCCGGTGGCAGGTTCCCCCCTCCCATGGTGACATTTTGGAGAGGCTTCTTTGCATCTGAGCTCCCAGCAGGGATAAGGCGGATGGGGTGGTGGTCTTTGCATTTAAAGAGCCTTGGAAACCACTGCTCCCCACCAGGCCCCAGGCCCTCTGCCTGCTGCTCCGGGCCCCTCCCCCAGGGCCGCCTGCAGCCTGCTGCGACCAACCCCTGGCCTCCTTCCCTGTTTCCTGCTGGCCTCATTTTCCACCTTGTCTCATAAGGTGCCCTCCCACCCTCCCCCTACCGCCAGTCGAAACGGGGTCCTTGCTGTCCTTCAGCCCCAGAGCCTGCACCCTTGACCTTGCTGGCCCCTGTCCACCAGTAGCCAGTGGCGCTGTCCCTGTCCCTGCTCTTCCCACCTGCTGTGGGTGTCCCAACCCATTGTCCCTGCTCTTCCCACCCGCTGTGGGTGTCCCAGCCCTTTGTCCCTGCTCTTCCCACCCGCTGTGGGCGTCTCAGCCCATTGTCCCTGCTCTTCCCACCCGCTGTGGGTGTCCCAGCCCTTTGTCCCTGCTCTTCCCACCCGCTGTGGGTGTCTCAGCCCATTGTCCCTGCTCTTCCCACCCGCTGTGGGTGTCCCAGCCCGTTGTCCCTGCTCTTCCCACCCGCTGTGGGCGTCTCAGCCCATTGTCCCTGCTCTTCCCACCCGCTGTGGGTGTCCCAGCCCTTTGTCCCTGCTCTTCCCACCCGCTAGTGGGTGTCCCAGCCCTTTGTCCCTGCTCTTCCCACCCGCTGTGGGCGTCTCAGCCCGTTGTCCCTGCTCTTCCCACCCGCTGTGGGCGTCCCAGCCCTTTGTCCCTGCTCTTCCCACCCGCTGTGGGCGTCCCAGCCCTTTGTCCCTGCTCTTCCCACCCGCTGTGGGCGTCTCAGCCCGTTGTCCCTGCTCTTCCCACCCGCTAGTGGGTGTCCCAGCCCTTTGTCCCTGCTCTTCCCACCCTCTGTGGGTGTCCCAGCCCTTTGTCCCTGCTCTTCCCACCCGCTAGTGGGTGTCCCAGCCCTTTGTCCCTGCTCTTCCCACCCGCTGTGGGCGTCTCAGCCCGTTGTCCCTGCTCTTCCCACCCGCTAGTGGGTGTCCCAGCCCTTTGTCCCTGCTCTTCCCACCCTCTGTGGGTGTCCCAGCCCGTTGTCCCTGCTCTTCCCACCTGCTGTGGGCGTCTCAGCCCGTTGTCCCTGCTCTTCCCACCCTCTGTGGGCGTCCCAGCCCGTTGTCCCTGCTCTTCCCACCCTCTGTGGGCGTCCCAGCCCATTGTCCCTGCTCTTCCCACCCTCTGTGGGCGTCTCAGCCCGTTGTCCCTGCTCTTCCCACCCTCTGTGGGCGTCTCAGCCCGTTGTCCCTGCTCTTCCCACCCGCTGTGGGCATCCCAGCCCATTGTCCCTGCTCTTCCCACCCTCTGTGGGCGTCTCAGCCCATTGTCCCTGCTCTTCCCACCCGCTGTGGGCGTCCCAGCCCGTTGTCCCTGCTCTTCCCACCCGCTGTGGGCGTCCCAGCCCGTTGTCCCTGCTCTTCCCACCCTCTGTGGGCGTCTCAGCCCATTGTCCCTGCTCTTCCCACCCGCTGTGGGCGTCCCAGCCCATTGTCCCTGCTCTTCCCACCCGCTGTGGGCGTCCCAGCCCATTGTCCCTGCTCTTCCCACCCTCTGTGGGCGTCTCAGCCCGTTGTCCCTGCTCTTCCCACCCGCTGTGGGCGTCTCAGCCCGTTGTCTCTGCTCTTCCCACCCTCTGTGGGCGTCTCAGCCCGTTGTCCCTGCTCTTCCCACCCGCTGTGGGCGTCCCAGCCCATTGTCCCTGCTCTTCCCACCCTCTGTGGGCGTCTCAGCCCATTGTCCCTGCTCTTCCCACCCTCTGTGGGCGTCTCAGCCCATTGTCCCTGCTCTTCCCACCCTCTGTGGGCGTCTCAGCCCATTGCCCCTGCTCTTCCCACCCTCTGTGGGCGTCTCAGCCCATTGTCCCTGCTCTTCCCACTCTCTGTGGGCGTCCCAGCCCATTGTCCCTGCTCTTCCCACCCGCTGTGGGCGTCCCAGCCCATTGTCCCTGCTCTTCCCACCCGCTGTGGGCGTCCCAGCCCATTGTCCCTGCTCTTCCCACTCTCTGTGGGCGTCCCAGCCCATTGTCCCTGCTCTTCCCACTCTCTGTGGGCGTCCCAGCCCATTGTCCCTGCTCTTCCCACCCGCTGTGGGTGTCCCAGCCCTTTGTCCCTGCTCTTCCCACCCGCTGTGGGCGTCCCAGCCCGTTGTCCCTGCTCTTCCCACCCTCTGTGGGCGTCTCAGCCCATTGTCCCTGCTCTTCCCACCCGCTGTGGGCGTCCCAGCCCATTGTCCCTGCTCTTCCCACCCTCTGTGGGCGTCTCAGCCCATTGTCCCTGCTCTTCCCACTCTCTGTGGGCGTCCCAGCCCATTGTCCCTGCTCTTCCCACCCTCTGTGGGCGTCTCAGCCCATTGTCCCTGCTCTTCCCACCCTCTGTGGGCGTCTCAGCCCGTTGTCCCTGCTCTTCCCACCCGCTGTGGGCGTCCCAGCCCGTTGTCCCTGCTCTTCCCACCCTCTGTGGGCGTCTCAGCCCATTGTCCCTGCTCTTCCCACCCGCTGTGGGCGTCCCAGCCCGTTGTCCCTGCTCTTCCCACCCTCTGTGGGCGTCTCAGCCCATTGTCCCTGCTCTTCCCACCCGCTGTGGGCGTCCCAGCCCATTGTCCCTGCTCTTCCCACCCTCTGTGGGCGTCCCAGCCCATTGTCCCTGCTCTTCCCACCCGCTGTGGGCGTCTCAGCCCATTGTCCCTGCTCTTCCCACTCTCTGTGGGCATCCCAGCCCATTGTCCCTGCTCTTCCCACCCGCTGTGGGCGTCCCAGCCCTTTGTCCCTGCTCTTCCCACCCGCTGTGGGCGTCCCAGCCCATTGTCCCTGCTCTTCCCACCCTCTGTGGGCGTCTCAGCCCATTGTCCCTGCTCTTCCCACCCTCTGTGGGCGTCTCAGCCCGTTGTCCCTGCTCTTCCCACCCGCTGTGGGCGTCCCAGCCCTTTGTCCCTGCTCTTCCCACTCTCTGTGGGCGTCTCAGCCCGTTGTCCCTGCTCTTCCCACCCGCTGTGGGCGTCCCAGCCCTTTGTCCCTGCTCTTCCCACTCTCTGTGGGCGTCTCAGCCCATTGTCCCTGCTCTTCCCACCCTCTGTGGGCGTCTCAGCCCGTTGTCCCTGCTCTTCCCACCCGCTGTGGGCGTCTCAGCCCGTTGTCCCTGCTCTTCCCACCCTCTGTGGGTGTCCCAGCCCGTTGTCCCTGCTCTTCCCACCCGCTGTGGGCGTCTCAGCCCGTTGTCCCTGCTCTTCCCACCCGCTGTGGGCGTCCCAGCCCTTTGTCCCTGCTCTTCCCACTCTCTGTGGGCGTCTCAGCCCGTTGTCCCTGCTCTTCCCACCCTCTGTGGGCGTCTCAGCCCGTTGTCCCTGCTCTTCCCACCCGCTGTGGGCGTCTCAGCCCGTTGTCCCTGCTCTTCCCACCCGCTGTGGGCGTCTCAGCCCGTTGTCCCTGCTCTTCCCACCCGCTGTGGGCGTCTCAGCCCGTTGTCCCTGCTCTTCCCACCCGCTGTGGGCGTCTCAGCCCGTTGTCCCTGCTCTTCCCACCCGCTGTGGGCGTCTCAGCCCGTTGTCCCTGCTCTTCCCACCCGCTGTGGGCGTCTCAGCCCGTTGTCCCTGCTCTTCCCACCCGCTGTGGGCGTCTCAGCCCGTTGTCCCTGCTCTTCCCACTCTCTGTGGGCGTCCCAGCCCGTTGTCCCTGCTCTTCCCACCCTCTGTGGGCGTCTCAGCCCGTTGTCCCTGCTCTTCCCACCCTCTGTGGGCGTCCCAGCCCGTTGTCCCTGCTCTTCCCACCCTCTGTGGGTGTCTCAGCCCATTGTCCCTGCTCTTCCCACCCTCTGTGGGCGTCCCAGCCCATTGTCCCTGCTCTTCCCACCCGCTGTGGGCGTCTCAGCCCATTGTCCCTGCTCTTCCCACCCTCTGTGGGTGCCCCAGCCCATTGTCCCTGCTCTTCCCACCCGCTAGTGGGCATCTCAGCCCGTTGTCCCTGCTCTTCCCACCCGCTGTGGGCGTCCCAGCCCGTTGTCCCTGCTCTTCCCACCCTCTGTGGGCGTCCCAGCCCATTGTCCCTGCTCTTCCCACCCGCTGTGGGCGTCTCAGCCCATTGTCCCTGCTCTTCCCACCCGCTAGTGGGCGTCTCAGCCCATTGTCCCTGCTCTTCCCACCCTCTGTGGGCGTCCCAGCCCATTGTCCCTGCTCTTCCCACCCGCTGTGGGCGTCTCAGCCCATTGTCCCTGCTCTTCCCACCCTCTGTGGGTGCCCCAGCCCATTGTCCCTGCTCTTCCCACCCGCTGTGGGCGTCCCAGCCCTTTGTCCCTGCTCTTCCCACCCTCTGTGGGCGTCTCAGCCCATTGTCCCTGCTCTTCCCACCTGCTAGTGGGCGTCTCAGCCCATTGTCCCTGCTCTTCCCACCCGCTGTGGGCGTCCCAGCCCTTTGTCCCTGCTCTTCCCACCCGCTGTGGGCGTCTCGGTCCATTGTCCCTGCTCTTCCCACCCTCTGTGGGCGTCTCGGCCCATTGTCCCTGCTCTTCCCACCCGCTGTGGGCGTCCCAGCCCTTTTTCCCTGCTCTTCCCACCCTCTGTGGGCGTCTCAGCCCATTGTCCCTGCTCTTCCCATCTGCTGTGGGCGTCTCAGCCCATTGTCCCTGCTCTTCCCACCCGCTGTGGGTGTCCCAGCCCATTGTCCCTGCTCTTCCCACCCTCTGTGGGTGTCCCAGCCCATTGTCCCTGCTCTTCCCACCCACTGTGGGTGTCCCAGCCCTTTGGGTTCCTTGGGATCCAGACATCACCCTCAGCCTTTTCCTGAGAGGCCCAGCTCCAGCCCGTGTGCCATATCCCAAAGCTCCCCTCCCTGAGCCACCTGCCAGGCACTCACTTCATTCTACCACGTCCAGCATCCTCCCAGCCCCCGAGGCAGGAGGTCACTGCTGGCCTGGACGTGGCCTTGGTCCTGCCCAGCCGCATCCCAGGTGCCTCCCGAGTGCCCTGAGGTGGCGGTGGCTGCAGCCTAAGCTTGGCAGGCGCCTACCTTGCTCCTCACCACTTGGCATCCTGCCTGAGCCCCACAAACTGGCCCTCGATGCCACGACAGCCCCGTAATTCTGGCAGCCTTGGGCCTGGCAGCCCAGTTTGTAGGATTAGCCCTGCAGAACAGGGTGGCCACAGGGGTGGTGACAATGACCACAGGACATGGGCCAGGCTGTCACCCCGGCCCTTCTTTCCAGCTCCTGGGGGCCCCCTGGGCACAGCTCGAGAGCCACTGCTTGACCTGCCAAGGACAGGGAGGTGCACCAAGGCCATTTCCCCAGTGGCAGAAACTTCGAGCCAGGGGCTCCACCCAACAGGGCCGTCCCCACCACAGTGCAAGGTGGCCAAGGCGCTGGGGAGCCAGAGTGCAGCCTGGGAGGTGCCTATGGATCTAGGGGTGCCAGGTGCTGCTGGTGGCGATGAAAGCTGTAGGAGAGGCCCGTCCTGTGTCAGGCGGTGTAGGAGCTGTGCCTTCTGGATAACGTCCCAGACTTGGGGTTCCACACCCACTCCAGAGGGACCCGGGAGCCCCGAGGTCTGGAAAATGCTGCCCGACACGCCCACCCAGTTCTCTGAAGCCTTCCTCTCTGTCTCTCTCCTCCCTCCCCGCTCCCTCTCCTCTGCCTCGGCTCCCATCACCTCCACCCTCCCAACTCGTGGGGAGACGTTGGGCTCCAGGGGATGCTCCCAGCCTGGCCTCCTGGACACGCTGTGGCCTTTGCCTGTTGATCGGGGTTGGTATTTCTAGAACCCTAGACCAGGGTTTAGGTCATGTCCCAGAGGGCCGTGACTTCACTGTGGACACCCGTGTGTTTCCCACCGGGCGTTCCACCAGAGCTGTGGCCAACAGCTGCCCTCACGAGGCCCAGGAGGGGACAGCGCCTCCTTGCATTTGCGAGACCTGGGAAAGGTGCCTGGCCGTGCCCACCTGTCCACTGGGAAGAGGACATCGCCCGCTCCAGGTGGCTCCCAGAGGTGCCTGCACCGGCACTTCCAGGTTGAAGGCCACCAGGATGATACCTGTGTTGCAGCTGCCTGGCGCCTCTGCAGGGGTTCCGACAGACGGGGTGGCTCTGGGGGGCAGTGGTGCTCCAGCTGCTGGGCGCTGCCGAGCGCTGGCACGTGGGGAACACACTCCTTTTGACTTTTCCAAGGAAGCTGGGGGTTGAGGTTTTGTGAGCGTCTCTCCGTGCCTGGCCGCCTGTGGAGGCTGTGGTTTGCATCTTACCGTCTGGGCTGGGACCAGGACGGGGGCTGGGTGCTGGGAGGACGAAGCGCTCAGCCCGGTGCCTGTGGCGGGGATCAGATGTCCTCACTGTCGTGGCGGGGACGTGGACGGTGGCCTCGGGGTGGTTGGCTCACAGACCAGGGTGGCCTTCCTGAGCATCCCGTAGGGCCGTGGGACCTGAAGCAAAGGCTACCTGTTGTTGACGCCGTGTGACAGACGCCTGCTGCTCATGCAGCTGCGAGGCTATGGGTTCTGGTCCCGGAGGCCTCCGTGGGTTGGGGTCAGACCCTCCTCCCAAATCTGAGGTGATGCTGAGTGAGGGAGTGGGGTTGAGCTGCTCAGGCAGATGCGGCTGCTTTCCTTATGGGATGAGGCCCCACGGGGCAGGCCCACGGTCGGGTTCCTGTCCTCCCAGGGGCCAGGAGAGCCCCCGGCATCACAGGAGGATGCCATGGGCGGGAGGGGACAACGGGCATGGGGAGGTCTGCAGGCCAGCCGTGGGGTCCCTGCTGACCTGGAGGGTTCTCAGGGATGCAGAGCAGTGGGACAGGCTAGAGGAGGCGCCTAGGCACCCCAAACCGGAAGTGCAGCTGGGACAGGAAGGGGGGCGGAACAGGTTGGGGGATCACAGGAGGGTCTCGCTAGGGACAGGGCCAGAGGGATTGAGGGGGAGGGTTGGGCCCTCGGGAGGGAGTGAGGGTAGGGTGGGTCCTCAGGAGGGCGAGGCCAGGTGGGGGCTGCATCTCAGGGAGGGGCGCCCGCCCTGGGAAGCTGAGGCTTTGGTGGGTGCCGGGGCACATTGGGCCAGGCCTGCTGGGATCCTGTGTGCGGACTTGGCCTCTCAGAAGGTCTTCCCAGTGGGGAGGGGCTGCACATCTGGCCAGCGGCCCGGGGGCAGGTTTTATAAGTTGCAATTAAAGCTCTTGGCCTTCTAGTTAACCGAGGCAGCGTAGATTAAAGGGCAGTTTTATGCAACCAGGACGGATCTGATGAAATCACCAGCCACAGAGATTGGAGTGGCTTTGACTGTAGATGCTCATTTTTTCCCGTTTGATCCTCCCTGCATCTCAGAGGTAGCTGTTGACCTGGGTCTTAGAAAAAACACTGTGCGTTCGAGCGCTGAGAATTCTAGGGAATAAGGGGATATTTTTTCAATGTGGTTTTCCTCTGTGTTAGGAACTCAGTCATGGGCTGGTTGGTGTAGTATTGGCTGGTTGATACAGCGTTGGCTGGTTGGTGCAGCGTTGGCTACATGGTGTAGTTTTGGTTGGTTATTACAGTTTTTATTGGTTATTGTAGCTTGGCTGGTTGGTGTAGCGCGCGGAGCGTTTCCAGACATCAAACCACGGGTCTGTGCAGATTCTGTCTTGAACAGCTGCGCCCCTCCTTCTGTCACCCTGTGCATTTACACTCCTGTCTGTAACCAGTGAAATCCCCCACAAGTGCGCTCAGAATTTTTAGAAACACGGCACGGGCTGCGTTTACATTTTCACTGTATTAGCTTTATGCGTGGAGTGCGTGATGTGCTGTTTCTCACTTGACATGTTCAGCAAATCGTGGGAAACACTTAAAAATCCTTAAAAAATACTCCACCCCGTCCAACCCGTCGCCCGCTGCCTGTCCTCAGGAGCCACCGCACCTCCGGCTCCTCTGAGTTCTGGCACTTTCCAGGAAGCCACTGCTGCTGCCCCTCATCTGGGCAGCGATGTGGCCTCCATGAGTGACCTCAGTTAAGGCTCTTTAGCAAGGAGTGCTGTACGCGCTGGCCCTCAGGCCCCAGGGCACCTCACTGCTATCTGTAAGGAGGCTCAGGGCACCCAGCACCATGCAGGAGGCCTGAGCTCTGCCTGCTGGTCTGATGGGAGGTGAACTGGGTGCCTGAGGGGGGATTGTGGTGCGGGGGGGGGGGTACTGAGAACCCTGGGGGCTTCACCACACAGGTCCCCTGCACCCTCCCCACATCCCAGAGGAGAAGGTCTGGGCTGGAGCTCCCAAGGGTAGACAGGGATGCCTCGGGGCACCCACCTCAGCATTTAGGGTCACCTTCCCCTCCCTACCAGCCCTCCACAGTGGCAGTGCCTGCGTCCCTCAGCCTGGGCATTGGTGGTCTTGGCTGCCCCCCTCCACAGTGACAGTGCCTGCGTCCCTCAGCCTGGGCATTGGTGGCCTTGGCCCCCCTCCGCAGTGGCAGTGCCTGCATCCCTCAGCCTGGGCATTGGTGGCCTTGGCTGCCCTTATGACACCATTTCTGTCGGCAGCCACCTCCAAGCACCTGCACGAGTCCACCTGAGGGGCTGTAGAGCTCCTAGTATCTGGTCCATCCCACGAGGATTCTGTGCCCATGGGGGCTGCAACTCTGGGGCTCTGGGCACTGCTCTGCACTCCATGGAAGCCCACGACTGCAGCCTCACCCATTATTCTGATTTTGAAATAAATAAATAAATAACTACAGCCTGGGTTTTAGAGATGATTTGGTTTTATGCCAGCGTCCACCTGGACAGAGCTTTTCCCTCACAGCGGTGCCTCCCTGCTGTGTGGATGTACAAAGGCCTCGCCGGGCTGGGCTCATGGGGCCCCTCAGGCTGCAGCAGCCAGTCCCGGAATGTCGGGACTGCAGCCCCCAGGAGGGAGGCCTACTTTTTAATAATCAGCTGTTTTGTTTCTTATTAAAATGAGGGCAAGCTCTCCTGCCTCCCGCTGGGAGCTGCCCACCCTGCCTTGGCACCGCCCTGGGCGGCCAGCAGGAGACCTCAGCTCTGGGGGGCCCTTGGCTCAGCCACAAGGGGGGCTGGGGGCCTGGGTCTCACTCAACAATATTCAGCCTCGGCAGCGCCACCTTAGTGCCCATGTGTGGGTGGGGGTCTGGTCCCTCTCTCCCCACCCAAGTTCTGGGGTGGCAGCTGGCCAGCCTGGAACCTTCCACCATACCCTGTTTGGACCCTGGCCAGTGACCACGGTGGCAGGAGGCGCTTGGGGGGGTCCAGGTGCCCTCGAGGGTGACCCTGCTCAGCCTCCTGCCTGGGCCAGACTCCAGGAACCCCAGGGACCCCGGCAGGGCAGACAGCCCCATAGGAGGTCAGAAGAGATGAGGGGCACATGACCCCTGGTCAGGAGGAAAGGATGAAGCCGTGGGGACTGTGAGGGCAGTCCCAGCTGGGCAGCCCTGGGGTCCTGTGTCCACCCACGGAGACACCAACTCGGCACCAAAGTCATCTCCAGGGTCAGGCTCTGGCCGTCCAGGTGGACGGGACTGAGCTCTGTGCTGTATCTCCTTGTGGGCTTTCCACGGCTTTCCAGGGACCTGGAATCAGAAGCAGAAACACAGCTGCCCATCCCTCCCGCCCGCCTGCCCGAGAGCTGCCTGCTCTCAGGAAATGCTCCAGGGCGGTGTGTGCTGGGCCGAGGGGCTCCGCACCTCCACCACTGCGCAAGGCCCCTGCCCTGACCACAGGTCTGTCTCCTTCTCTGTGTCCTGAAGGCTGCAGATTATTCATGAGAACCATGTGAGCTTCGGCTCAGCTGAAACACCGCTGGGATGTGTTTGAAGTTTTTCCCCATTTTCCGTAACTGGTCTCGGCCGGCAGCCCTATAAGAGGCATGTTGGGGTCCTGGGCAGCCATGCGGGCAGCGGCTGGAGTCCTCGTGTCAGGCTCCAGTGGGCAGTGCTGGGAGCAGGCCCCAGAGCAAAGGGGCAGTGTGTCTCCTCTTGCATTTAGGGTAATCCAGCATGGGGGCCCTGGCCAAGGGGATCCCCAGGGCAGCACTGACTGAAGGGGTCATTCCAGGCAGCTGCATCTTCTACCTGGAAATGCTTTGGGGAACCTGACAACACAGGAATGTCTGTGTGTTTTGCTTCCTAAAATCTGAGGCTGAGTGGGGCACGAAGGGTTGGTGTTTCTGGACCCAGAGATTGAGACGCCCCAGGAGGCCTGAGGCGAGTGTCAGGCTCCAGTCCAGCCGCCCAGAGCTCCTGCCCATCTCCCCCGCCTGCCCACTGAGCTATGTGGCCACTGACTGCCCCGTTCTTCCTGCAGGAGCTGCCCAATGGGGACCCCAAGGAGGGGCCTTTCCGGGAGGACCAGTGTCCCCTACAGGGTGAGTGCAGCTCCCGCAGCCCTCCCTCCCCAAACTCACAGACTTCATCCCGTACCAAGGCAACGCCGAAAACCACCCTTAAAACAACCCCGTGTGCGGAGCGAGGGCACTTCCCAGGCTTAGACGCACTTTGTTCTTAAAAAGCCTTGGCAGCACAACTCACAGGGTCCTCGCTGGACTGGCAGCTGCGATCTGGCAGCAGAGACCAAAAAGGCCTGTCCCATGGGCAGAGCCCTAAGCGTTACCTTTATGTGTTTGGAGTCTCTGTGAGCCTGTGTTTGTGGATGGGGGTGGCTCTGTATAAAGGGGACCTGTGAATTTTCAAGTTAGCCCTGGGCTGGAGGATGTGTGAGATGCTGGCCCAGCCTAAGTCACTGCCACGCGTGTATGCCTCAGTGGCACCAGTCCTACCTGTGGCGCGTGGCAGGTCAGCACTTGGCTTACCTGTGGGTCTGTGGGAGGGTGCTGGGAGGCCAGCAAGCAGGGCCACCTTCGGATGGCTGCTGAAGCCAAGAGAGGCACCCACACCCCCTCAGTGGGAAGGCAGGCCCAGAGCATCGTCCCAGCTCAGGCTCGACGTGCACCTGTCTGCAGGTGCTGAGCCCGGACAGTCCCACACTCCTATCCTGGGGACGCAGCTTGCAAGTGCTGGAGAATAACGGAATAATTGTGCTCCAGAAACCAGAGGACTGTTCATCCATCCTGCCCAGAGGCTGCGGGGAGGGGGCCGCCTGTTGACACACTCAGTGCACAGGTGGCCTGTGTGGCCTGTGGGCTCAGTGCTAGGATTCTGGAGTGGAGGGCCGGAGGGACTGTGTCTATGGGGAGGGGGCCCAATGATGACACAGGGAGCATCTCCTGGAGGCCCAGGCTATGTTCCCCTATCTGTGCTCCTCGGAGTCTGCTGCACCCCCAGCTCTGAGGTGGTGGTTGCAGTTGGGGGCCACCGTGGGCTGGTGAGAGGAGGGCACACCCGGCTGTGGCTGGCCGGGATAGGGCCTCCCTCCCCTCCGCAGGGGTCCCAAGATCGGGCTCTCAGCTCAGGCCCGTCTGGACAGGATCATGGTGTGGTGAGGGGAGAGCAGCGAGGGTCCCCAATGGCGGGCCACATCCTCCATGTGCCCTCTGCCAGCCCCTTCGCCTCCTCTTGTCCCCCTAGTGGCACTCCCCGCTGAGAAAGCTGAGGGCCGCGAGCACCCGGGACAACTCCTCAGCGCAGATGACGGAGAGAGGGCAGCAAACCGCGAGGGCCCGCGAGGACCGGGCGGGCAGCGCCTCAACATTGACGTGGGTCTCTCTCCGGCCTCACTTGCGGGAACACGTCCCTGGGGCCGGGGGCTCAGGGACAGGCATGTGTTGCCCTAAACTGGGCATCTGTGGACACGGCGTAGTTCACTCAGTCTTCCCCACAGTTCACCCCGTTTAAGGCATTGAAGCAGAACTTGAATGTGCAAGCCAAAGTCAGCAGGAGCCAGAGAGTGCAGGATGTTGCTGTGAATTTGGCCAAAACTGACTGGTCTGGCATCAAATAACTTGAGCCGCATTCCCAGCCTTGGTGCCCTTGGCACTACAGGAGTAATGCCAAAGCTGACTTGACGGACAGCCCGACTCTCTGCCCGCTGGAGGCAGGGCACAGGGCTTCCGTTTCCCGGGAGGGCTCAGGGAGGACTGGGGTCTCCGTGTCCAGTCAAGATTTCTGGAATTGACAACACTTGACGGCCAGTGTGTCCTCTTCTCCTTCTGGGTGACGTGGAGTGCTTGCATGAGCTGAGATAGGTGTCACTGTGGGGGAACCGAATCACAGGGCACAAAGCTGGGTCCCCCCAAGAAGGGCTGGAGCTGGGCAAGAAGGGGTCTGCTGGTTCAGGGCTTGAGCTCCAGCCACGCTGCCCTCTAGGCTCCGCCTTTCCTAGCTGGCATGAGGGACCCCTGGGAAAGGCCCCAGAAGATCCTTCCCCCTGTGGAGTTGGGCGTGTTGGCGTGGGTAGGAGGCGAGGTCCCGGCCCCCACGTCCCCCCACAGGCACTCCAGTGCGATGTCTCGGTGGAGGAGGACGACCGCCAGGAGTGGACGTTCACGCTCTATGACTTTGACAACTGCGGGAAGGTCACCAGGGAGGTAGGTGAGCTTGTGTTTGCGTCAGGTCCACAGTAGTAGACAGACGGGGCAGACAGACTGTGCTGGCCTCGCGATACCTCAGGGGGCAGGAGGGGACCTGCCTGCTGCGAGGTCCTCATGCCAGCTGGGCTTGCGTCTCCCCAGGGCCCAGTTCACGTGTGTTTCTGGGCCGAGCCTGCGCCGCCCATTTCTGCGGCTGTGCTTCCCACACTGCAAGGCTGCCCTCAGGGCACTGGAGGCGCTCACAGGGCCACCTGGGCAGACCCAGGCTGCTCCGAGAAGATGCCTGTGTTGGTTCCTGTGGTCTGTTGGTGGATGCAAGGATGGCATAGGAAGGGGCGGGGGCTGGATGTGTTTTCTGGCAGGGAGGGCGGGTGGTGTCCCCTGGGGTCTGCTCTGTCAGTGAAACTGATGCCGGGCCCCAGGACATGTCCAGCCTCATGCACACCATCTATGAGGTCGTGGATGCCTCGGTCAACCACTCCTCGGGCAGCAGCAAGACCCTCCGTGTGAAGCTAACCGTCAGCCCTGAGCCCTCCAGCAAGAGGAAGGAGGGTCCTCCTGCTGGCCAGGGTGAGTGAGGCCTGGGCACACACAGAGGACCCTACCCAACATTGGCAGGGGCCTAAGCTGTGTGCGCGGGACAGGGAGGGACAAGTGAGTGGATGGAGGAGTGAGTGGGTGAATGGATGGGTGAGTGAGTGAATGAGTAAGTGGGTGAGTGAGTGAGAGAGTAAGTGGGTGAGTAAGCAGATTAATGAATGAATGAACAAGTGAGTGAGTTAATGAATGAGTGAACAAGTGAGTTAATGAATGAATGAGTTAATGAATGAGTGAGTGTTAATGAATGAGTGAGTTAATGAGTGAACGAGTGAGTTAATGAATGAGTGAACGAGTGAGTTAATGAATGAGTGAACAAGTGAGTGAGTTAATGAATGAGTGAACCAGTGAGTTAATGAATGAATGAATGAGTGAGTGAGTTAATGAATGAGTGAATGAATGAGTGAATGCTGAATGAAGGAGGGAGGGAGTGAGTAATGGCAGGACCCCCCTTTCAGACCGGGAGCCCACCCGTTGCAGGATGGAGGGTGAACTGGCAGAGGAGCCAAGGGTGGCTGACAGGAGGTTGTCTGCACACGTCAGGTGAGGGCTGGGGTGCCAGGGTGGGGCTGTGCCTTAGGCGGGGGCACCCTGGCCACACCCCTGCTTCCCGCAGGCCACAGGCCACAGGCCACACACCATCCTCTAGGTCAGACCTGCAGGGGGCACCTGGTCCAGCAGCTCTGTGGGGCATGGGCCCTTCCAGCATCTGGCACCCTGGCTGAGCTGGGCCCCCAAGTCTGTCTGAGCAGAGGGCTTTGAGGGGCAGCAGCCACAGCGGCCTTGACACCCTCAGTCTGGACTTGCTGTGGCTCACTGTGGCTCCCTGTGGCTCCACTCAGCAGCTTTGGGGGCAACAGGGCTGGGGGTGGCTGGGGCAGTGGCTGAGGGTGGCTGGGGCAGTGGTTGGGGGTGGCTGGGGCAATGGCTAAGGGTGGCTGGGGTAGTGGCTGGGGATGGCTCAGGCAGTGGCTGAGGCAGTGGCTGGGGGTGGCTGGGTGGCTGGGGTGTGGCTGGCGCAGTGGCTACAGTGGTCCCAGAGTGGTGATCAGGTGCCACTACAGCATGAGCCACTCCCTAGAGCACCTGCGGCTCTGGTGCCTGGGAGGGAGTTCACAGGGTTCTGGGGGTCGGCTGTGACCTTGTTTCTCTGGACGGCACTTGACTGTCTGTGCCCAGGCGTCCACTCTCCTTCCTGCTCTGCGAGGAGGTGGGTGCTGGTCAGGATGCACCCCGGACCCCTGCCGCCTGCTGTAGGCACCCCGTCATCAGGGGTGCGCCACCCAGTCTGTGCGGGGGTCAGGCCCTTCTCTGTGCTCCAAGCAGGAGGCCCAGTACTGACCCCCAGCCCTGCTCGGAGCGGGGGCCCTACTGCGTGGACGAGAACACGGAGCGCAGAAACCACTACCTGGACCTCGCCGGGATTGAGAACTACACGTCCAGATTCGGCCCTGGTAGGTCCTGGAGGCCACCCTGGGCGTGAGGCCCTGGCTGTGGGTGCCCATCGAAGGTCTTGATTCCCACAGCCCTGAGTGCAGGGGGCCCCTCCCTGCCCTGCCCCGCCCCCCCCCAACCCCCCCCACCCCACCCCACCCAGGACGGCACCCAGGTCCTTCCACAGCTACCTGTTGGTCATGGCTGCCTCCTGGCTACCTGTTGGTGCCGCCTGAAAGCAAGGCGGGCGTCCCGTCCAGGTGTGTGTATGTGGCGGATGCGGGGGTGCCTGGTTCAAAGTGAGATGGAAGACATTGGGTTTGCATTCAGGGAAACCCTGCCTTGGGGTGAGAAGTCAGTATTTTAGGGTGGAATCACCGGCTCAGTCAGCAGAGGGGGTCGTCCAGTAGTGTGGATGGCCGGCAGTGTGGACAACAGGCAGTGTGGACGGCAGGGCAGGCAGTGTGGACAACAGACAGTGTCGACAGCAGGCAGTGTGGATGGCAGGCAGGCAGTGTGGATGGCGGGCAGTGTGGATGGCAGCCAGGCAGTGTGGACGGCGGGCAGTGTGGATGGCAGGCGGGCAGTGTGGACGGCGGGCAGTGTGGACAGCGAGCAGTGTGGATGGCAGGCAGGCAGTGTGGATGGCGGGCAATGTGGATGGCAGGCAGGCAGTGTGGACGGCGGGCAGTGTGGATGGCAGCCAGGCAGTGTGGACAGCAGGCAGTGTGGATGGCAGGCAAGCAGGTGGATGGCAGGCAGCATAGATAGCTGGCAGCCTGCCCAGCACACGTTTATTTCCGACTAGCAGCACCCCTATGTGGCCTGCATGGAGATTCTTGTACCAAAGCCCAGGCCACTCCCCAAGGGCTGGGGCCAAGTCTCTCTCATAACCCCGGCTTCAGGAGTCCCCAGGGGCAGGAGGGGTGGAGCTGGATCAGGGTCATGGGGGCTCAGTGCGCTGTGTGCTGACCCTGCCCTCCTTGGCCGCGCTCTGCACAGGAGCTGCACCCTACAGGGCTCGCACTGCACGTTGTGAAGGTGGCAGTCCTGAGTCCTTCTCAAATCTATTTTGTAATGAGGGTTTAGGGGATGCGAATCCTGGGGGCGCCCTCCCTGATATAACCTGGCTTTCTGCCACGGCGCCCCAAGCAGGGTCTCAGCTGTGCGAGAAGAGAAGCTCCGCTCCCAGGACACACAGTGGGGACAAGGCTAGAGGAGTCGGCCTTTGCAGGGAGCTGTGGAGCCAGGCAGGTCACCCACAGTGGCCAGGCCCCTTCCCTTCAGGGCTGGTGGCCGTCTGACTGCAGACTTGGCTAACAGACTGGCCTCAGGTGGGACCCCTGGCGCAGCTCTTCCAGTGGGCCCTGGGCCGTTTCTGAGGAGATGGGAACCTGAGCCTGCACTCCCAGGGCCTCACACTCTGACCTGTGTCCGCAGGGTCCCCTCCTGTGCAAGCAAAGCAGGAGCCCCAGGGCAGGGCCTCGCACCTCCAGGCCCGGTCCCGCTCCCAGGAGCCAGATACACATGCCGTACACCACCGCAGGTCACAGGTGCTGGTGGAACACGTCGTGCCAGCCTCGGAGCCTGCTGCCCGGGCCCTGGACACGCAGCCCCGGCCGAAGGGGCCGGAGAAGCAGTTCCTCAAGTCCCCCAAGGGCTCCGGGAAGCCGCCTGGGGTGCCAGCCAGCAGCAAGTCCGGGAAAGCCTTCAGCTACTACCTGCCGGCCGTCCTGCCGCCCCAGGCCCCTCAGGACGGCCACCACCTCCCGCAGCCCCCACCGCCACCCTACGGCCACAAGCGGTACCGCCAAAAGGGCAGGGAGGGCCACTCGCCACTCAAGGCCCCACACGCTCAGCCTGCCACAGTGGAGCACGAGGTGGTGCGGGACCTGCCGCCCACGCCAGCAGGAGAGGGCTACGCGGTGCCAGTGATCCAGCGGCACGAGCACCACCACCACCACGAGCACCACCACCACCACCACCACCACCACTTCCACCCGTCCTAGCGCCACTGCCAAGCACACCTCGCTCCCAGCACACCACAGCCCGCGACCTCAGGGCAGGGAGCAGAGCAGCTGCCGGCTGTGTGCCCATGGGGAGCCCAGCCCCCACCCCCCACCTCCGACAGCAAACAGCAACTGACTGCAGGTGCTGGCATGATGGAGGTGGTGCACCTTGGACACGTGGACAAGGCCCAGGCGCCCTCTGCTCTTCTGCCCTCGATGCCACATGGCGGTGAACACATCTGAAGCCACTATGTTTCCTGGCTCTAAGGCTCGTCTGTGTAACCCATAAAACCTGCTTTGATTCCAAAATGAGGCCCTGGAGTGCGCAAGGAGTGCCCGGATGCTTGGGGTGGGTGTTCCTCCCGGGGCTTCAAGGGGTGACTGCTGTAGGCTGTCCCAGTGCGAGGCCGGGAGCGAATGGAAAAGCTGAGGCTTTGCCTGGCTTGTGCATCATGAAGTGAGAGGGGACAGGGCCGGTGGGGGGAAGCAGCTTGTGCTTAGCAGGGAGCATCCGCGGCTCCCCGCAGGAGGCCAAGCAGCAGAAGGCAGCAGTGCTAGAAAGAGAAGTGCCAGAGTAGGGAGTGCAGACCAGTGAGGAGGGGCCACAGGGCACAGGGGGAGCCCACACCAGTGAGGAGGGGCCACAGGGCAGCATGCGGCAGTGGAGGTAGCCCCTGGTCCCGGAGCCACAGCAGCTCAGGTGCATGCAGGACACAGTCAAGGCGGGGAGGGGCAGGGCAACAGATGCTGGGGAGAGGGAGAGGCTCGCGCTGGGTGCGGCTCAGAACACGGGGACTTGCACATTCACGGTCCCAACACTCACGGGGCGACTTCTGTGACATGTCAGCTTTGGAGAAAGGTGTGTCCTGCAAGGGTCAGGAGACGGTTGCAGGCCAGAAGGACGTCCCAGTGACGTTTCGGAGTCTTGCAGCCTGCAGGGGTCCATGTGGTTACCCGGAACAGGAACCGTGGGGGTGCTTTCCGGGACCCAGGGGGCCCGTGCCAATGTTTCTGAGTCTTGGAGCCTGCAGGGGTCCACGTGTTTACCCTGAACAGGAACATGCGGGTGTTTTCCGGAATCTGGCGAGGCCGCGCGGCAGTTTTGCATTTACATTCCTTGTTTTGTTTTTAAGGATAAAGCGGTGCTGGGTGGGGTCTGTGGGAGGGGTTTGAGCCATGGCGGAAGATCCCTGGTGAATGGCTTGGATGTTTGTCGCCTCCGAGTCTCATGCTGAGACGTGATCCGTGGTGCTGGGTGGGGTCTGTGGGAGGGGTTTGAGCCATGGCGGAAGATCCCTGGTGAATGGCTTGGATGTTTGTCGCCTCCGAGTCTCATGCTGAGACGTGATCCGTGGTGCTGGGTGGGGTCTGTGGGAGGGGTTTGAGCCATGGCGGAAGATCCCTGGTGAATGGCTTGGATGTTTGTTGCCTCCAAGTCTCATGCTGAGACGTGATCCGCAGTGCTGGGTGGGGTCTGTGGGAGGGGTTTGAGTCATGAGGACAGATCCCTGGTGAATATGGCTTGGCGCCCTTGCCGTGGTGATGAGTGAGCTCTCATTCGGTGTTTGTGGGAGATCTGGTTCTTTAGAGCAAGGGCCACAACCCCCAGGCTGTGGACTGCTACTGGTTTGTGGCCTGTTAGGAACGGGCCTCACAGCATGGGGTGGGCGGTGGTGAGTGAGCATGAGTGCCTGAGCCCCGCCTCCTGTTAGATCAGAGGCGGGATTAGATCCTGATGGGTGCTCGAACCCTGTTGTGAACTGCGCATACGAGGGATCTAGGTTGTGTGTTCCTTATGAGAATCTAATGCCTGATGATCGGAAGTGGAAGTTTCATTCTGAAACCATCCCCACACCCCGTCCGTGGAAAACTTGTCTTCCACAAAACCAGTCCCTGGTGGCAAAAAGGTTGGGGACTGCTGGTTTAAAGGAACTGGCACCTCCCCCTCTCTCTCTTGCTCTGACCATGTGACATGCCTGCCCCTCCTTTGCCTCCTGTGTTGAGTGGAAGCTTCCTGAGGTCTCCCCAGAAGCTGAGCAGATGCGGGCACCATGCTTGTACAGCCTGCAGAACGGGGAGCCACATAAACCTCTTTTCTTTATAAATACCCCAGTGCCAGGTATTCTTTTATAGCAATGCCAAACAGACTAACACAGGAACCTCCCCCCCGTCAAAAACCCTACAAAAAACACATATGCACAAAAAGTGAGCCAGTGCTGAATGGTCTCGTTCATTAAACACCCACATGTAAAGATCAGTGTGTCTTGTCAGTTACGCTGCAGCAGCTTGGCCTGGGGCCAAGGGCGAATTGTGTGTGTGAAGCTGTTGGGTACCATGTCCAGCAGGCCTGGCACATGGTGGATGGGAAGGGACACAGCACAGGATGGCATCAGGTCCCTCTCTGGCTCCCGGGCCACACCTGTCGGGGGACATGGGTGCCACCAAAAGGAAGGCCGTGCTGTGCTGCAGGCAAGATGGAGGCAGAGGCTCCTCGGAGGACTCCCGGCACACAGCCTGCTCCTGGGGCAGCTCTACCTGCCGTTTGGCCCAGTCTTCCCACCATGCTGGCACCAGAAAGGCTTCACTGCAGGAGACCGGGTGACAAAGGTGACACACAGACAGAGGCCTGGGTCACAGAAACCAAGAGCCTTGTTCTTTCTTGTGTGAGTGTAGACTTTGACTACCAGATGATCTTGTCGCTGGACCAGCCTGTATCTGAATGAGTGGGAGTGACTTGGTGTAAATTAGTGAGTGAATGGGTGAAGGATGAGTGGGTGAATTAGGGAATGAATGAGTGAACGGGTGAATAAATGAATGGAACGGTGACTGAGTGAGTGAATGACAGTGGTGAGTGAGGGCTGAGGGGTAAATGAGTACATGAGTAGGCGAATGAATGCATGACAGTGAGTGGGTTAGTGTGTAAATGAGTGTGTGAATGAGTGAACGGGTGAATGAACAATGAGTGAGTGACAGTGATGAGTGAGGGCTGAGGGGTAAATGAGTACATGAGTAGGCGAATGAATGGGTGGGTGACAGTGGGTGAGCTGTGAATGAATGGGTGCTTAAGGAGTGAGTGAATGATGAGTGGGTGAATGGGTGAGTCAGGGAACGGGTGGATGAGCAGGTAAGTGAATTAGTATGCAGATGACTGGGTGAACGAGTTGGTGAGTGAGGGAACCAGTGAGTGAGTGGGTTAGTGTGTGAATGAGTGGGTTAGTGTGTGAATGAGTGGGTGTGTGAACGAGTGGGTCAGTGTGTGAATGGGTGTGTGAACAAATGGGTTTGTGTGAATGGGTGTGTGAACGAGTGGGTGTGAATGAGTGAATGGGTGTGTGAAGGAGTGGGTTAGTATGTGAATGGGTGAACGAGTGGGTTAGTGTGTGAATGAGGGAGTTTGTGAATGAGGGAGTTAGTGTGTGAATGGGTGTATGAACGACTGGGTTTGTGAATGGGTGTGTGAACGAATGGGTTAGTGTGTGAATGGGTGAGTTTGTGAAAGAGGGAGTGTGTGGATGTGTGAATGAGTGGGTTAGTGTGTGAATGAGTGGGTGTGTGAATGGGTGGTGTGTGAATGAGTGGGTTAGTGCATGAATGAGTCGGGTTATTGTGTGAATGAGTTTGTGAATGGGTTAGTGCGTGAATGAGTGGGTGGGTTAGTGTGAATGAGTGGGTGTGTGAACGAGTGGGTGAGTTAGCGTGTGAATGGGTTAGTGTGTGAGGGGGTTAGTGTGTGAATGGGTGTGTGAATGAGTGGGTTAGTGTGTGAACGAGTGGGCTAGTGTGTGAACGAGTGGGTGAGTTTGTGAATCAGTGGGCGAGTTAGTGTGTGAATGGGTGAATTCGTGTGTGAATGTGTGTGAACGAGTGGGTGACTTAGTGTGTAAATGACTGGGTGTGTGAGCGAGTGGGTGTTAGGGTGTGAGTGGGTTAGTGTGTGAATGGGTGAGTTAGTGTGTGAATGAGTTAGTGTGTGAATGAATCAGTGGGTTAGTGTGTGAATGAGTGAGTGAATGGGTGGGTTAGTGTGTGTGTGAAGGGGTTAGTGTGTGAACGAGTGGGCGAGTTAGTGTGTCAATGAGTGGGTGTGAATGAGTGCGTGTGTGAATGAGTGGGTGAGTTAGTGTGTGAATGAGTGGCTGTGAACGAGTGGGTGAGTTTGTGAATGAATGGGTGAGATCGTGTGTGAATGGGTTAGTGTGTGAATGAGTGGGTGGGTTAGTGTGTGAATGAATGGGTAGATTAGTGTGTGAATGAGTGGGTGGGTTAGTGTGTGAATGAGTGAGTTAGTGAATGGGTGGGTTAGTGTGTGAGTGAGTGCATGAATGGGTGAGTTAGTGTGTGAACGAGTGGGCGAGTTAGTATGTGAATGAGTGGGTTAGTGTGTGAAGGAGTGGATGTGTGAACAAGTGGGTGAGTTAAGTGTGTGAATGAGTGGGTGTGTGAACGAGTGGGTGTGTGAATGAATGGGTGAGTTCGTGTGTGAATGAGTGGGTGTGTGAATGAGGGGTTTGTGAATGAGTGGGTGAGTTTGTGAACGAGTGGGCGAGTTAGTGGGTGAATGTGTGAATGAGTGGATGAGTTAGTGTGTGAACGAGTGGGTTAGTGTGAATGAGTGGGTGAGTTAGTGTGCAAATGAGTGGGTGAGTGTGAATGGGTGTGTGAACGAGTGGGTTAGTGTGAATGGGTGAGGTAGTGTGTGAATGAGTGGGTTAGTGTGAATGAGTGGGTGTGTAAATGAGTTTGTGAATGAGTGGGCAGGTTAGTGTGTGAATGAATAGGTGAGTGTATGAACGGGTTAGTGTGTGAATGAGTGTGTGAATGAGTGGGTTAGTGAAAGAGTGGGCAAGTTAGTGTGTGAATGAGTGGGCGAGTTAGTGTGTGAATGAGTAGGTGAGTGTGTGGGTGTGTGAATGAGTGGGTGAGTTTGTGAATGAATGGGTTTGTGAATGGGTGGGTTAGTGTGTGAATGAGTGGGTTAGTGTGTGAATAAGTTGGGTTGTGTGAATGAGTGTGTGAATAAGTGGGTGGGTTAGTGTATGAATGAGTGAGTGTGTGAATGGGTGAGTTTGTGAACGAGTGGGCAAGTTAGTGTGTGAACGAGTGGGCAAGTTAGTGTGTGAACGAGTGGGCGAGTTAGTGTGAATGAGTGGGCGAGTTACTGTATGAATGAGTGGGCGAGTTAGTGTGTGAATGAGTAGGTGTGTGAATGAGTGGGTGTGTGAACGAGTGGGTGAGTTTGTGAATGAATGGGTTAGTTTGTGAATGAGTGGGTGGGTTAGTGTGTGAATGAGTGGGTTAGTGTGTGAATAAGTTGGGTTGTGTGAATGAGTTAGTGTGTGAATAAGTGGGTGGGTTAGTGTATGAATGAATGGGTGAGTTTGTGAACGAGTGGGCAAGTTAGTGTGTGAGTGGGCGAGTTAGTGTGTGAAGCAGTGGGCAAGTTTGTGAATGAGTGGGTGAGTTACTGTGTGAATGAGTGGGCATGTGAATGAGTCGATGAGTTAGTGTGTGAATGGGTGTGTGAACGAGTGGCTGAGTTAGTGTGTGAATGGGTTAGTGTGTGAATGAGGGATTTTGTGAATGGGTGTGTGAACGAGTGGGTGAGTTAGTGTGTGAATGAGTGGGTGTGTGAATGAGTGGGTGAGTTGGTGTGTGAAAGAGTGGGTTAGTGCATGAATGGGTGGGTTAGTGTGTGAATGGGTTGTGAACGAGTGGGTGAGTTAGTGTGTGAATGAGTGGGTGACTGTGTGAATGAATGGGTTAGTGTGTGAATGAGTGGGTGAGTTAGTGTGTGAACGAGTGGGCGAGTTTGTGAATGAGTGGGGGAGTTAGTGTGTGAATGAGTGGGTGAGTTAGTGTGTGAATGGGTGTGTGAATGAGTGGGCTAGTGTGTGAATGAGTGGGTGTGTGAACGAGTGGGTGAGTTAGTGTGTGAATGAATGGGTTAGTGTGTGAATGGGTTAGTGTGAGTGAGTCAGTGGGTTAGTGTATGAATGAATGAGTGGGTGGGTTAGTGTGTGAGTGGGTTAGTGTGAAAGAGTGGGCGAGTTAGTGTGTCAATGAGTGGGCGAGTTTGAATGTGTGTGAACAAGTGGGTGAGTTAGTGTGTGAATGAGTGGGTTAGTGTGTGAATGAGTGGGTGTGTGAACGAGTGGGTGAGTTACTGTGAATGAATGGGTGGGTTAGTGTGTAAATGAATGGGTGAGTTAGTGTGTGAGTGGGTTAGTGTGTGAATGAGTCAGTGGGTTAGTGTGTGAATGGGTGGGTTAGTGTGTGAATGAGTGAGTTCGTGTGTGAATGGGTGAGTTAGTGTGTGAATGAGTGGGTGAGTTAGTGTGTGAATGAGAGGGTGTGTGAACGAGTGGGTTAGTGTGTAAATGAGTGGGTGTGTGAACGAGTGGGTGAGTTGGTGTGTGAAAGAGTGGGTTAGTGCATGAATGGGTGGGTTAGTGTGTGAATGGGTTGTGAACGAGTGGGTGAGTTAGTGTGTGAATGAGTGGGTGAGTGTGTGAATGAATGGGTTAGTGTGTGAATGAGTAGGTGAGTTAGTGTGTGAATGAGAGGGTGTGTGAACGAGTGGGTGAGTTGGTGTGTAAATGAGTGGGTGTGTGAACGAGTGGGTTAGTGTGTGAATGAGTGGGTGAGTTAGTGTGAATGAATGGGTGTGTGTGTGAATGAGTGGGTTAGTGTGTGAATGAGTCGGGTTAGTGTGTGAATGAGTGTGAATGAGTTAGTGTGTGAATGAGTGGGTGAGTTAGTGTGTGAACGTGTGGGCAAGTTAGTGTGTGAGTGGGCGAGTTAGTGTGTTAATGAATAGGTGAGTTTGTGAATGAGTGGGTGTGTGAACGAGTGGGTGAGTTAGTGTGTGAATGAATGGGTTAGTGTGTGAGTGGGTGGGTTAGTGTGTGAATGGGTGGGTTAGTGTGTGAATGGATGAGTTAGTGTGTGAATGAGTGGGTTAGTGTGTGAATGAGTCGGGTTAGTGTGTGAATGACTGGGTGGGTTAGTGTATGAATGAGTGTGTGAATGGGTGAGTTAGTGTGTGAACGAGTGGGCGAGTTAGTGTGTGAATGGGTGAGTTAGTGTGTGAATGAGTGGCTGAACGACTGTGAATGGGTGTGTGAACGAGTGGGTTAGTGTGTGAATGAATGGGTGAGTTCGTGTGTGAATGAGTGGGTAAGTGTGTGAATGAGTCGGGTTAGTGTGTGAATGTATGAATGAGTGGGTGGGTCAATGTGTGAATGAGTTAGTGTGAATGAGTGGGTGAGTTAGTGTGTGAACGAGTGGGTGAGTTTGTGTGAATGAGTGGGCGAGTTAGTGTGTGAATGGGTCAGTGTTTTGGTGTGTGAACGAGTGGGTGAGTTAGTGTGTGAATGAGTGGGTTAGTGTGTGAATGAGGGAGTTAGTGTGTGAGTGGGTTTGTGAACGAGTGGGTTAGTATGTGAATGAGTGGGTGAGTTAGTGCATGACTGAGTGGGTGAGTTGGTGTGTGAATGAGTGGGTTAGTGCATGAATGGGTGGGTTATTGTGTGGATGAGTGTGAATGGGTGTGTGAACGAGTGGGTTAGTGTGTGAATGAGTGGGTTAGTGTGTGAGAGTGTGTGAGGGTGTGTGAATGAGGGGGTTAGTGTGAACGAGTGGGCGAGTTTGTGAATGAGTGGGCGAGTTAGTGTGTGAATGAGTGGGTGTGTGAATGAGTGGATGTTATTGTGTGAATGAGTGGGTGTGTGAACGAGTGGGTTAGTGTGTGAATGAGTGGGTGAGTTAGCGTGTGAATGAGGGATTTAGTGTGTGGGTGTGTGAACGAGTGGGCGAGTTAGTGTGTGAATGAGTGGGTTAGTGTGTGAATGGGTGTGTGAGTGGGTTAGTGTGTGTATGGGTGTGTGAACGAGTGGGTTAGTGTGTGAATGAATGGGTTAGTGTGTGAATGAGTCAGTGGGTTAGTGTATGAATGTGTGTGAGTGGGTGGGTTAGTGTGTGAATGAGTGGGTGAGTTAGTGTGTCAATGAGTGGGTGAGTTTGTGAATGAGTGTGTGTGAACAACTGGGTGAGTGTGTGAATGAGTGGGTGAGTGTGTGAATGAGTGGGTTAGTGTGTGAATGAGTGGGTTTGTGAATGAGCCGGTGGGTTAGTGTGTGAATGAGTTAGTGTGTGAATGAGTGGGTGGGTTAGTGTGTGAATGAGTTAATGTGTGAATGAGTGGGTGAGTTACTTTGTGAACGAGTGGGCGAGTTAGTGTGTGAATGGGTTAGTGTGTGAATGAGTGGGTGTGTGAAGGAGTGGGTGAGTTACTATGTGAATGAATGGGTGAGTTAGCGTGTGAATGGGTGGGTTAGTTTGTGAATGAATGGGTGAGTTAGTGTGTGAGTTGGTTAGTGTGTGAATGAGTCGGTGGGTTAGTGTGTGAATGAGTTCGTGTGTGAATGGGTGAGTTAGTGTGAATGAATGGGCGAGTTAGTGTGTGAATGAGTGGGTTAGTGTGTGAATGAGCGGGTATGTGAACGAGTGGGTTAGTGTGTAAATGAGTGGGTGTGTGAATGAGTGGGTGTTTGTGTGAATGAATGGGAGAGTTAGTGTGTGAATGGGTGAGTTAGTGTGTGAATGAGCGGGTGTGTGAACAAGTGGGTTAGTGTGTAAATGAGTGGGTGTGTGAATGAGTGGGTTAGTGTGTGAATGAGTGGGTTAGTGTGTGAATGAGTGGGTTAGTGTGTGAATGAGTGGGTTAGTGTGCAAATGAATGGGTGAGTTTGTGAATGGGTTAGTGTATGAATGAGTCGGTTTAGTGTGTGAATGAGTGTGTGAATGAGTAGGTAAGTTAGTGCGTGAACGAGTGGGTGAGTTAGTGTGTGAATGAGTCGGTGAGTTAGTGTGTGAATGAATGGGTTAGTGTGTGAATGAGTGGGTGGGTTAGTGTGTGAATGGATGAGTTAGTGTGTGAATGAGTGGGTTAGTGTGTGAATGAGTCGGTGGGTTAGTGTGTGAATGAGTGGGTGGGTTAGTGTATGAATGTGTGAATGGGTGAGTGTGTGAATGGGCAAGTTAGTGTGTGAATGGGTTAGTGTGTGAATGGTCGAACGAGTGTGTGTGTGAATGGTTGTGTGAACGAGTGGGTTAGTGTGTGAATGGGTGAGTTCGTGTGTGAATGTGGGTGTGTGTCGGGTTAGTGTGTGAATGTGTGAATGAGTGGGTGGGTCAATGTGTGAATGAGTTAGTGTGAATAAGTGGGTTAGTGTGTGAACGAGTAGGCGAGTTAGTGTGTGAATGGGTTAGTGTGTGAATGGGTCAGTGTGTGAGTGGATGTGTGAACGAGTGGGTGAGTTTGTGAATAGGTGTGTGAATGAGTGGGTTAGTGTGTGAATGGAGTTTGTGGGTGTGTGAACGAGTGGGTTAGTGTGTGTTAGTGTGTGAATGGGTGAGTTGGTGTGTGAATGAGTGGGTTAGTGTGTGAATGAGTGGGTGGGTTATTGTGTGAATGAGTGAGTGGGTTAGTGTGTGAGGGAGTTAGTGTGTGAGTGGGTGTGTGAACGAGTGGGTTAGTATGTGAATGAGTGGGTTAGTGTGTGACTGGGTGAGTTGGTGTGTGAATGGGTTAGTGCATGAATGGGTGGGTTATTGTGTGGATGAGTGTGTGAATGGGTGTGTGAACGAGTGGGTTAGTGTGTGAATGGGTTAGTGTGAGTGTGTTAGTGTGTGAATGAGGGTGTGTGAATGAGGGGGTGTGTGAACGAATGGGCGAGTTTGTGAATGGGTGTGTGAATGAGTGGATGAGTTGTGTGAATGGGTGTGTGAACGAGTGGGTGAGTGTGTGAATGAGTGGGTTAGTGTGTGAATGAGGGATTTAGTGTGAGTGGGTGTGTGAACGAGTGGGTTTGTGAATGAGCGGGTGTGTGTGAATGAGTGGGTGAGTTGGTGTGTGAATGAGTGGGTTAGTGCGTGAATGAGTGGGTGGGTTAGTGTGTGAATGAGTGGGTGTGTGAACGAGTGGGCGAGTTTGTGAATGGGTGTGTGAACGAGTGGGTTAGTGTGTGAATGGGTTAGTGAATGGGCTAGTGTGTGTCAGTGGGTTAATGTGTGAATGAGTTGGTGAATGTGTGAACGAGTGGGCGTTAGTGTGTGAATGAGGGTGTGTGAACGAGTGGGTGGGTTAGTGAATGAGTGTGCGAATGAGTGGGTAAGTGTGTGAATGAGTGGGTGAGTTAGTGTATGAGTGGGCAAGTTAGTGTGTGAATGGGTGGGTGAGTTGAGTGGGTGTGTGAACAAGTGGGTTAGTGTGTGAATGAGTGGGTTAGTGTGTGAGTGGATTAGTGTGTGAATGAGTGGGTGGGTTTGTGAATGAGTGGGTTAGTGTGTGAACGAGTGGGCAAGTTAGTGTGTGAATGAGTGGGCGAGTTAGCGTGTGAATGGGCGAGTTAAGTGTGTGAATGAGTGGGTGACTGCTCTAGCCGAGTTCTTGCTCCTTGGGAAGCACCGGCCAAGGCTAGGAAGCAGCCTGGTTTTTGGGGTCCCAGGGAAGGGGACACCTAGGGGTTTCTGGCTGGGCCCTGGTCCCAGATGTGTAGGCATCAGTGGGTCTCCAAACCTCCCTGCTGGAATTTGTGAGCATCTGGCCCTCAGGACAGTAGGCCCACCCCAGCCGGCCGCTCCCGTGCTCTGAGTCCCGGGTGTGGATGCCTGGGTGCAGCCAGCACTCACCCCTCGGGGGTCCGAGGACGACGCTGCTCTCACGGTCACTCTCCTGTGACCCGAGAGCCAGAGCAGGACCCGCCACCCTCCTGTGCCGTGTCCCTTCCTGTCCACCATGTGTCAGGCCCACTGGACACGGTGCCCGGCAGCTTCACACACACAATTCGCCCTTCGTCGTGCACGAGGCAGTGTTCCAGCATGTTCAGTCACATAAGCTTCACCACAGCCATTTCGGAACATTTTCACCCAAAAAGAAATCCATACCCTGTAAGCAGCCTCCCCCCATCCCCCATCTCCCCCCATTCCCCTTGACCCACCCCCAGCACCCGCCAGTGCACCCCCTGCCTCTGTGCCTGGCCCACTCTGGCATTTCGTGTTAAGTGCAGTCCCACAGCGTGAGACCCTTTGTGTCTAGCTTCCTCCCGAGCGTGAGGCTTCCAAGCTTGGCTCCTGGTTCTAGCTGAGTGAGGCCCGCAGCAGGCACGGCCCACATGGACTCAGCATGTTCTCGGGCTGCATCCATTTTGGCTGCTGTGAACTTGCGTGCACCCGTTCCTGAGGCTGTGCCACACACCAGGAGTGGACCTGCCGGGGAAGGGGCGGCTCTGTCTCTCACACTTTCAGGAACCACAGGCCCTTCCCGTGCAGCTACAACCCTGCAAGAGGGGTCCGATTCCGCACGTCCTCCCCGCGATTCTCTGGTTTTGGCTGTGACCATCACAGGTGTGAGTTGGCATCTCACGAGTTAGAACACGCTGTCCCCACTCATGGCGGACTCTCTGGTGCCTCCATCCTTATATAAATTAAATTATAAATCGAATGGCCGGGCATGGTGGCTCATACCTGTAATCCCAGCACTTTAGGAGGCTGAGGCAGGCAGATCACTTGAGGTCAGTTCGAGACCAGCCTGGCCAACATGGTGAAACCCCATCTCTACTAAAATACAAAAATTAGCTGGGCGTGGTGGTACACGCCTGTGATCCCAGCTATTCGGGAGGCTGAGGCAGGAAAATAGCTTGAACCTGGGAGGCGGAGGTTGCAGTGAGCTGAGGTGACGCCACTGCATTCCAGCCTAGGCAACAGAGACTGTCTCAGAAATACAGAGATTGGGTCACTTCAACACACAGCACTAGGAAGTTTGGGGTAAGGTCATTTCCAAGCCGATGACATGATTTGGAAGCCCTCGTCCAATTCATATGGTCACTCTTCAGCCACCTGAGTTGGCTGTGGCTGGTCAGCCCTGACGCTCCTGCTAGAAAAGGGGCGGCCAGTACATTTTCTCCAGCTGTCTTTCATGCTGAATGAGACTCAAGAGATTCTTCAACGTACTCAGATTTCATAGGATTTTATTTTTCTACTAACACAGACAGACAGGGAAACCTACAAAAGGAAACGGAGTCAATTGTAAATGGCTGTAGTTACTGGTTACACGGAGTTGACAACACAAAGGATGCCTGGTGCTTGCGTGCAGAGGCTGCAGCCCAGGGCGGGGGCAGAGCTGAGCCCTCAGGAGGTGGTTTCGTGTGCAGAACTGAGCGGCCCTCAGAAGCAGGGCTGTTTTCCAGCCACCAACCAACGTTCAGAGCCAGCACCATGTGGCCGCTGTGCCTCTAGCCTGCTCTCCTCCAGGTGCAGGGGACACAGGACCTGCCGGCCCCATCCAGACATGGAGGAGCGTTTTGCTGCTTAACTCATGCTTAGCCAAGGCAGGCAGAGGCTGTGGGAACTGCTGAGCCCCGCTGTGAT
This sequence comes from Homo sapiens, assembly GCF_000001405.40. Classification (NCBI taxonomy): domain Eukaryota; kingdom Metazoa; phylum Chordata; class Mammalia; order Primates; family Hominidae; genus Homo; species Homo sapiens. The sequence continues at coordinate 69,310 of NT_187548.1, forward strand.
GTCTGGGACACGCTCTGGGCAGCAGCCGTCACTCTACAGCAATGCCAGCCCTAGTCTGGCTCCTCAGAAACATCTGGGGGCACAAGTGCAGCCTCTGCCCCGATTTGAACTTTGTTGATGGGGCTGATTCCCTTGGGAGACCATGCAAGCCAGACGTAGCCCAAGGCCTGGCCATCTGGGGCCTCTAGTATATAGAAGCAACCTCTTTATGGACAACCTTGTTACCACGTAACTCCCTGGGGTGTTTAAATAAATAAATATGCCACATAGAAAGGGAGGCCCAAGTCGGCGCCACTGCCCGCAGCCTGCAAATGTGACCACAACCTACAAAGCAGAAACTCACAGCCAGCCGAAGTGCAAAGTGTTGGGCCCTTGAAAGCTATCTCTTCAGTGCCACCGCCGCCTCCATGCAAGGCACAGGCCATGGCAGGGGACGCCCGGGACTCAGCCAGACAGACCTGACACCAGGCGCCACTGCTGCCTGAGGACCTCCCACGTCGGGTCCGTGTCCTCCTTCCCTGGAGCACCGGGGTGGGGATGGCACGTGTGAGCCAGCTCAGAGGCTGAACTGTGTGCCGTGCTCCTGGGGTGGGGTGGGGTGGGGAGGGCAGTCCTGGCTGTCGTGGGCTGTCGGGGGAACTCACTGTTCACTCTGCGCGCGTGTGCCCCTGGGTTTCAGTGCATTTGCCTGCGTGAGGCACTGATCGCACCTGTGGCTGTGGGCTGGGCCCTGTCAGTGCTTATGAAAAGAAGTGGCTGGTTTTCTAAAGGCGGATGGAGACTCGGACAGCTGCAAACACAGCCCGGCATGGCAGAGCCACAGCTGGGGGCCCCTTCCCGGAGCGTAGGCCCTGATGAACTGAACGTGTTCACCACACACCCGACAGATGATCCACCACGTTCTGGAAAAGCCGAGTTCCCTTTCCAGATGGCCCTGGCCCACGCCTCAGCTCATGAAATGTGGACCTGCCGAGCCCAGAGGCTCCCACACGAGGGTGACACGGGCATGGACAGAGTCCTCCAGCTTCAGTGCCTTGAGGTACAGAAACACAAAGACAGTCAAGGAACAGAGTGACTCGGAGGTGACCGGGGCCCTGAGCGGAGCCATGGCCAGGGCTGACGTTTCACCTTCATCATCAGGGACAGCTTCAGCTCCGGGTGCTCTTCCAAGAATGTTCTGGATGGGGTAGAAATGCAACCTAACCACTGGGTAAATCCAGCCAAGGAAAAGAACTTCCAGAAACCAAGGCAAGGGCTCACTGGCTTCTTGTGACCTGCGAGAAGATCTGGCCACGTCCAGGTCACTCCGGTAGCAGCGTCTGCCCTCAGATGCAAGGAAATCGTCCAGCCACGCCCTGATTTGCTGAGCCTGTTAAGGCTGAACAGGAGAGCCCTAGGTGACGGGCCTAGAAACTTCCGTAGGAAGCCCCATGGGCAGCTTGGGCGGCATCACTGGGGGACAGGTGTGTCTGCCGTCTGTTTCCCTGGGCCAAGCCCAGGCCCAGGCTGCCCACGCCGTCCTCCGTGCCTGTCCCAGAGTGCCGTGATGCTGTTGGGCATTAGGAGTAGATGGTGATCACCTCCCGGCCGCCACCCCTGACCAGGAGGACTCTGTTCAGCCCCTCGGTCAGGACTTCAAGAAACTCCATGTCTGTGGTCAACAGAGTTAAGGCCACAGCTGATCTTACCTGAGCGTGTGTAGCTGAAATCGTGATAGGAGTGAGGTTTATCCTCTCCTGGTTAGCTAAGATTTGGTTTGAGAAACCCAGAGCCAAGGTGAAAAGAGAGGTGGGGATTAGAGAGACCCCCCAGGCGGGGAGGAGCAGGGCAGGGGAGAGAGGGGCCAGTGCTCGGGAAAGAGAGGGAGCACCGTGGCCACAGGGAGGACGAGCAGAGACAGCGACACAGCCCACGGTGCTGACCCCACCCGACAGGGAACCCCAGCCACGGGACTGGGTCCTCACCAGCCTACAGGGGACCTGGGCCACGGATTCCGATCAGGACGCATGGAGGACATGCCCTCACTGGCCCCAGTTCTTGGTGCCAACCTGGCAGGGATGTGCCAGGCGTCACCCTGTCTGTGCCAATACGCCCAGATGCACTGCGGAGTTCTCCTTCCAAAGCACAAATTCCCAAAGCTGCGACCAATTGTGGCCTTAAAGCCGAGAGCTGGGCTCCTCACCTCCCACCGTTGTCGGCGCAGGGTGGGGCTGAGCCCCAGCGGAGGTCCCAGAATGCACAGCTGCTGTGGGGATGCATGACAGGGAGCCTCCCAGCCCCAGGGCAGCCCTGAGCACCTGGGGACAGTGGGGCTGGTACTGTAGGCGGGCCCTCCCTCCCCCACACCAATGCCAGGGCTGGCCCCAACTCTGGCCCGGTCACCACTGGGCTCAGAGCCCCACTGCATCCCGGTCGTAGCTCCCAGGGCCTGGGGCTGAAGGAGAGGCGGGAAGCCAGCCTCACTCCCAGCACCCACAAACGCAGGTCTTAGCGAGAAGCCACCAGGGGGTGCCCGCACGCTCAGCAGGCACACTGCAAGAAAGGATACAGTTCTCGTCTCCCTGCCGGTTTTTGGGAGGACCTGGCATGTTGAGCAGGACCAGCTGCGCATCCTGGGACTTGTTGAGGACGACGCCATTGAGCTTCACAGCCGTGTGCATCCGCCTGACGTTGGACTGGTCCCTGCAGGGGAGGTGGGCACGGTCAGCGGGCGGCGGGTGCACCCCACGCTCCGGACACGAGGCTGAGCTGAGCCCTGATGAGCTGCATTCACACGTGTTGGAAAGGGCTGTGTGAGTCAGGATCAGGCGGATTCTCTGACCCTGAAGGATGCAGAAGTGGCGGCTCCGAGCGAAAGGCGCTGACTGCAGCCAGGGCGGGCGTTCAGCAGCGGGATGCTTTGGCCTCCAGGGACCTAGAACTCAGCCCACTAAGGCTGCCAAGCTTCTAAGGGCTACAGTCACACAACACAAACCGCAAGCGCTTTCCTAACTACATCTACATCTGCAAAGCAGGCAGAACAGTGGAAGCCGTCTGGGTGGCCCATGTGCCTGACGCCTTCAAGGCTGACACGCTTCTCTTGACATCTACATCATCGCCCCTAAACCCCACGTCAGACACTGCCAAACACAGACCCGTCAGGCTGGGCACACATGGCCTCCTCTCCGAGGGTCCTGATACAACTGGGTCCAAGGGGCCGGAAGCTCAGGAAGGAAAGGCCCAGAGTCCCCCACACCGGCCTGTGCAGCCGTTGCTGCTGAAGCTCCCAGGCCTGACAAGGATAGGGTATGCCGAGGACTCAGCTGGAGGCACAGGCCCTCAGTGGCCACTACTGGGTCCCCTCCTACGGCCCACCCTGCCCCTGTCTGGCCAAGGGCTAAAGGACAAGCACTTCCACCGTGTGGCCGTCCAGCCCCCGCCTTCCGTCCTCACAACGCAGCTCTGCTCCACGACCCTCCCTGTCTGCTCTCTGAAGCTGCTGTGGCCGGTCCATGTCTCAAAGCGTCCCTGGCGGCCTGGGCCCGGCCACAGCCCCACAGGAGGCTCCCCAACCAAGTAGGTTTGGGGACACTGCAGAATCATGCTGTGAGGTGCTCAGGCCCTTGCGGGACAGAGCTTATCTCCCTCCTCTACCCCACGGTCCCCTCCTAGGCAGGCCCCTAAACTGCAGCAGAACTGGCGTTCCAGGAGGCCACCTGGGGAAACGCTGGGCGGAGGGGAGCACTTGCGTTTCTGTGTTGGAAAAACCCGGCCCGTGTGTGGACTTGAAAGTCGGAGCGGGTCTCAGGCCAGCTGCAGCCGTGCGGTCGTGACTGTGGCCCCCTGGGGGAGGTCACCAGCGCCCTGGACGCAGAGGGGCGGCGGCGGACAGACAGAGGCCGCCCACGCAGGGTCACGGAGAGGCCCCACGGACGCCATCCAGGCTCACGCCCTTTGATCCGCTTGACGCTTAAGCCACATAAACGTGATCATAACCACCAATTTCCAGGAGGAACACAGGGAGAGACCTTCTATCTTCTCTCCAGCCTGGTCTAATTACAGATGGGGTCTCTGTCCACAGCACAGTCAAGGGGCTTTCGTGCCAGGAACTTGGAACTTTGAATTCGACTTCTGGATAGACCACAATTACCAGTGTGTTTGGGGACAAAGAGCAGCTCCAGGAAGTGAAAGCAGGCCAGGAGCACAGGGGGGTCGGAGTGGGCAGCGTGTCCACAGCCAGTGAGTGCTGGGGTGAGGCGGAGACCTGGCCCTTGGCTACTGGTGGAGTATGCCGGCCGCCACAGCAAGGAGGACCAGTGCAGACACAGGCACAGACACGCACACTAATGTGTATACGCACACACACATACATGCAGACACACTGATGTGTACACACACAGGCATAGTCACACTAATACACAAGTGCATACACTATCATGTACAAACAGGCATGCAGTCACAATGTGCAAATGCGTGCAGACACACTAACATGTAAGACATGCATAGTATGTGCACACAGACATGCACACTAACGTACGTGGACGTGCACACAGGCAGGTACACGTCCACCGGCAGGTGCGCTGACAGGTACATGCGAGCACGCACACAAACAGACATCCGTTAAGTGTGCTCCCGGGGACGTCACAGTAAGCCACGCACATCTCACGCCCACACTGCCCAGAAGAGGTCAGGGCCGACCTCCAGATCTTCGGAGGGCTTCTCCCAGCCCAACCCCGAGAAACTGCTGGGCCAAGAGAGTCAATGCCATCCCAGACGCACGCCACACATGAATACAAAGCCCACGCGTTGTCCATTCTGGCCCACCTTCTCCTGACCCTACAGGCCTGTGGGGACCTGCCCCCGCCCCGACCAAGGGGAGGCAAGCCCCGGCGCTGGGAGGAGGCACAGGTGCCACTGAGGGTCCCCGAGTGTGTGTGCCTGTGCATGTGTGTGTCAAACCCTACTCCTGGGTCTACGTCGTTCTGCGGCTTTAATTAACACGCTATTCTGAAGGCACTTTCAGATTTACAGAACGGAGCAGGAAGTACAGGGATTCCCTGCACGCCTCGCACATAGCTGCACAGTTTCTTGAGTCTGATTAATTCAGGTTTCGGGGTTAAAGATAAAAAGGGAAGGGAAGTGTGGCCACTCAGCCAAGGCGTTCCTCACTCAGGCACCAGGCACTGCCTGCCCACAAGGAAAACATGGCCCAGGCGGTTACTGGCGGGGGCAGGCAGGGGACAGAGACGGCATCGAGGACTCCCAGGGAGCACCCTGGGGGTCCGTCCAGGGTACACCCTCCCACCTGCCCCGGAGCTCAGACGCAGGTAGCTCCTGCCGAGGGTCCGACCACACAGAGAACTGATCTGCACCCCTCTCCGCCTGGAGGCTGGACAGCTTTAACATGGAAGGCATTCCAGGTGGGAACGCGACTCAGCTAGCGCCTGACCCAGAAGGACGTGGATGGACTCACTGACGGGCCCTGCGAGGCGCACGCCTCCCCTCCACTCCGGAGCGGCTCGGACACCTCCCAGGTCTCAGTTCCTGGGCCTCACTTAGGAAGAGGCTTCAGGCGTGTGCTGGAGCCACCGTGAACAGAGGGGAGCGAAGGCAACAGGAAACTGACGTGGGAGCCGCAGCAGCTCTGGGTGAGCTCTGGCTGTACGCGGACGCACACAAGCCACCGTGCACGGGGCAGGCACAGGCCTAGAACACGCGCACAGACACACGCAGGCCACACACACACAGGCATGCAGGGCAACCGGGCCCGGAAGGCGACCTGGTTGTAGCGAGTGGACTTACAGGTTTCCCCATTCTCTATGCAGGAGAAAAAAACAAGAGTGTGTTACTGACTTCAGGAGAGAGCACCAGGCTGTTCCAGATCGCATGGCTGCCCAGGAGGACGCCGCCTCATCCCACCCCACAGGGCCCAGGAGCCCCCAGCCCTTCCTGAGAACCTGGCTTTAGGGTCTGGCTCTGACCCCGGGTGAGAGGTGTCTCTTGCGCTCTCATCTGGAACTCAGAGGCTGCGTCTGCAGAACCAAACCCACACCCGCAAGGACCCTGTACAGCCCTGGTGTTCGCAGCCCAAGGCCACAGGTGGGAGCCTTGGCGTAGGGCAGGCCCTAGGGCCCGACAGCAGCCTGAACTACCCACAGGGTGAAGGCCAGGAATTCTGTGCCCAGCGGCACAAGCCTCCTCGCCTCCATGGAACAGACTCATCTGCCTGCTGCAGTGAGGCTTGCCTGAGCAAAGCAGGCCTGGCCGCAGGGCTGACTTCAGGGCTGGCCCAGGTACCAGGAGGACTGCTCGTCACCCAGCTGTGGGGTTAACATCAGGACCCACCCTAGGTCCTACAAGGACCCCTCAGCGCTTGGCACTAGAAGGACCCCTCAGCGCTTGGCACTAGAAGGACCCCTCAGCACTTGGCACCCAGGTCTTACAAGGACTCCCGGCCTTGGCACTAGAAGGATCCCTCAGCGCCCGGCCACAGGGCTGAACTCAGGGCCCAGCCTTGGCACCAAAAGGACCCCTCAGTGCCCACTCAGGCGGCTCCCTGTTCTCTAACGGGCCCACTGGCCTGCAGGGTTGCCCCGAAGCTCTTCAGTGGTCAGGGAAGGGACTCTGTCCTCACTGCCGGGCCAGCACTGCCAGGATCTGTTCCCCCCAGGCCACACGCACGGACACTCACGGCTTCATGCTGAAGAGGTCTTTGAAACCGGATAGGCTGGTGTCTCTGCTCCTGTACTTCTCAGCGATCAGCTTCTCCCTGGTCCAGGTCATCTGCACCTTGTCTGGCGTAGGCGGCGCTTGGGTCCTGGCTGCCGCCGCGGTGTGGGACGCGGTGTTCCTGTCGTGGATCAGCTGGGCCTGGCGGGCCCGGGACTCGGTGAGACCAGCCGGTCTCAAAACTCCTCTGGGCGAGAGCGACCCGGGATGCCAGGCCGGAGGTGAGGGCAGCTCACAGAACCTGAAGGGCCCTGTGTGCCTGACCCGGGACCCAGCCTGGCGTCCCACACTGGTCCTGCGCCGCCCCCGTGACTGCCTCCCTCCTCCCAGGCTTCCTGACCAAACGCTCACCCCCTCACCTTCCCGCCCTGGCCCTGAACTGGAAAGGCCCCATGACCCCGTACTGACAGGAGGTGACACGTGCTGGCAGAGTCTCCCCCTCACCTGACGGGGCTCCACACACGTGTTCACCCCAGACCACCTGCTCGCCCACACAACCAGCACGCAGGCATCCCCGTCTCAGGGAGGCTTGGGGCAGGTGGGGCCGTACCAGCATCCAGGCCCTGTCCCCGGGGAAGCAGGCTGTGTCTGACCAGCCAGGGGACGTTTGGGGGCCGGCCAGGCTGGCAGGGGCCCTGTGGGGCACCGCTGGGGCCAATGACAGGGCCGGCCCCCTGTGCGTCACTTCTGACAATCCGAGGAAAATGAAAACACCGTCCACGCCCCTAGCTGTAGGCGCCGAAGGGGAAGTGGCGCCCTCACCGCGAGATCGCACCAATGGCGCAGCCCCTGGTGGTTAAACACCCTCCACTGGGTTCTCATTCCTCCCTGCACCCTTCACGCCCTCCGTGCTGTCGTGGCCAGCCTGACAGGTAGGCCAATGGGAGCTCCCAGACACGGGTGCCACCTTGGAAGTGGTATTTATGCACACACCGGAATGGCCACCTCTCCCACTGTGGCTGGAGCCCCGCCTGAGTTTGTGACGCAGCCCGGGGAGCCACTCGTCCCAGGGGCATCAGGAGTTTGTGAGCCCCGGGGTGATTTTAAAAAGCCAAAGGTCCAGAGTGATTTCACTGGACCAGGTTCTTCTTCCCCGGATAAAACTGTTTAACTTGGATGTCGGTCCTTCCCGAAAGGGAAGAGATTGGCACAGATCGGGGAGGGCCTGGGGCTGCCTCCCTCTCTGGACACAGACAGTGGGCCCCAGGCCTCTACTCATTGTGGCGCCCGGCCCAGCCTAAATTTCCCATGGCCTTGAACGTGAAACCAGAGCCCAAGGGCTGCCCGCTCTCGGCAGAGCCAGCGCCGCCCACCTGGCCCGAGGGCCACCGTGTAAGTCACTAGAGGGTGTCCACCCAGCGTCTGCACAGCAGCTCATCCAAACCCCGGCTTCTGCAGAGCGGTGACACCTCCAACCCCCACCTGGCCCAGGAGGGGCCCTTCGAGCTCGAGCTTGCTGTTCCCGCTCCCGGTCCCTCCTCGGTCAGCATTTGCTGACTCTCCACACTGAACTTCCCATGAAGCCATGGGTGGATTCTTGTTCCTAGCTGGACCCGGGCTGAACCCTTGTGACGCCAGGGCGACCCTGCCGGATCTCAGGGACCTGGCCTGGACAGAAAACAGAGGATGTGGGTCCTCCCAGACACTCCCGGCTGCCCGGACCCCCGTGGAAGGGGTCTCTGTCCACGGACAAGCTGGGCGGCCCCCCGTGTCCTGCATCTGTGCCCACCCTGACCTGCCCGGGGTCTGGGAGTGGACAGGACCGCAGCTCCACACGCCTTTCTCTGTTGGGGGAGAGCAGCAGTCGCTGCTTAGTGATTCCGGCTGTCAGCACATATGGCCCCACACGCAGACCCGTGTACTGCAGGTTCCTGCTGAGGCCAAGGCCCCAGGGCAGGCAAATCCTCTGCCCCTGCCTCCGCCGTCACTGCAGTCTCAGAAAACCAACACCTGCACCTGGTCTGCACACACACGTGTGTGATACCAGCCAAGTGGGACCCACGAAGACCCCATGAGGCCGTGACCTCACAGAGCTGAGCATCCCGCTACCAGGTGACCCCCGTGCTGTCCTCCAGTGCGAAGTGACCACAAAGACGCCTGCCCTTGGGGTCTCACAGTGGCCATGGGGCCCAGGCCAGTATAACTCAGATGGATACACCCAGACGTCCTCAGCAGCCTACAGTTACCCACGGAGCCAAAGCCGCTGCAGCCAGGCGGCCAGCTTCCACGCACGGAGGCTGCACAGGTCTGTGTCGGGGGGTGGGGGGTGGGGGGGTTGGCAACTCCCCTCCAGCTCGCTTCCCTCCCTCCCTGCACACTCACTCTCCCCTCCCACTTGGTCTTAGACAGGACAGAAATCTGTGCATGCTGCGGGGAAGGGCACTGAGGGGCTCCAGGGTTTCAGGCTGTGAGACAAAGCAGCCATCGTAAGCAGCTGTGGGCACTCATCCGGCTCAGAAGCCGCTGACCCTGTCAGAGGGCACTGCCCTTGGGGAGGGTCCCCATGTCTCCTGCCTGCACGCTGCTCGGTTAGAAAAGCTAAGTTCAAAGGTCTCGGCCCTCGTCCCTTCCTGCACATGAGCATGCATCTGGCAGGCTGCCGTTCCTCTAACCAGGCACCCGCACGCCCAGGCTCCGATGAGCTCTGGCTTTGACGCCACTCCTGTGCTCCTGCAGGGCCTCTGCCACCTCCACGCAGGCTGGGGGCTGAGCCTGCGACGCAGTACCTGAGGCATGCTCTCTGGAGGACCGTCGTGGGCTGCAAGAGGGTCCCAGAAAAGACTCAGCGAAGTCGGCTATACTTCTCAGAAAGCCTGGTGTCTGTGGCCACGGCCCCCACGTACCTCTCGCTCCTGCTCGTTCTTGGACAGCTGCATCTGCTTCAGCATCTGCGACCTCTGCTCCATCATTAGTGTCCTCTCGTAGGTGAAAGCAGATATGTCGTTTTCAACCTAGAAAGTTCCCAAGCACGTAGTAAGCCCGGTGTGCACAGAACCACGGATGGCTCCAACACCAGCCTGGTACCCAGAGACCGAGCCACCCTGAGCGGTGGGAAAGGCCACGCGTCCCGGGCCCCACAGGCCCCCTCTGGCTCTCAGGCCCCCCGCCCAGTGGCCAGGAAGGTGTGAGCGCACGATGGGCAGTCACGCCGCACACACGCTCTGCTCATGTCCCTCCCCAGGACCCTCTGACCGGGCACAAGGGCAGCTGTGAGGACAAGGCCACAGCCACAAACCAACCTGGCACACACGGCTCAGGGCGAGGCACTGCCCCATGGGGCTGCATGATCCACGCTCACAGGTGTCATTGTCTATGCTCAGGGGGGCTTGGCACCATGGGAAACCCACCCAGAACACATGGAGAAGCCACAGCACAACCTCAGCGCCCGCCATGCAGGACCCTGGGTCTCACCCATTGCACCCACCGTGCGGGACCCCTGCGCCTCACCCGGAACATCCACAGTGTGGGACTGCTGCGTCTCACCCACTGCACCTGCCGTGCAGGATCCCTGAGTCTCACCCGCCGCACCCGCCGTGCGGGATCCCTGAGTCTCACCCGCCGCACCCGCCGTACCTGCCGCATCCGCCATGCGGGACCCCTGCGTCTCACCCACCGCACCCGCCGTGCGGGACCCCTGCGTCTCACCCACCGCACCCGCCGTGCGGGATCCCTGAGTCTCACCCGCCGCACCCGCCGTACCTGCCGCATCCGCCATGCGGGACCCCTGCGTCTCACCCACCGCACCCGCCGTGCGGGATCCCTGTGTCTCACCCGCCGCACCCGGCTCATGGGAGTTGGGAGCAGCTGTGCCTGTTAAGCACCAGTATTTAAAACAGCACACCAGATCAGGTGCGGTGGCTCACACCTGTCATCCCAACACTTTGGGAGGCCGAGGCGGGTGGATCACCTGAGGTCAGAAGTTCGAGACCAGCCTGGCCATCATGGTGAAACCCCATTGCTACTAAAAATACAAAAAAAAAAAAAATTAGCCAGGTATGGTGACGTGTACCTGTAGTCCCAGCTACTCAGGAGGCTGAGGCAGGAGAATTGCCTGAACCCAGGAGGTGGAGGTTCCAGCCTTGGGGACAGAGCGAGACTCTGTCTCAAAACTTTTTTTAAAAAAATAAACAGCATGCCAGACTGAATGGCAGCGACCCAGACGCCCCTCTCCAGCCAGGTGGCACTTGTCCCTGCGGCCAGGGCTACGGAGGGGTGGGCAACCCCAGCCCTGCCAGAGACATGGCTGGGAGCATGGGGGGTGCTGGGAGCTCCAGGTTCCCGGACTTCAGAGCTAACAACCCCTGCTCAGGAGCTGGGGAGCTGCTTCTGGCACCACGGAGGGGCTGGGGGTGCGGCTGGGGCCATGGGCTCACTTTGCCTGTTTCCTCTGGGCCCCAGTGGCCGCCCCACCTGGCCCCCTGGCAGGGCTGGTTCTCCCAGGCAGCATTTTGTTACTATTTTACTAAGCGGTTTTATGACTTGGAAATAACGTTATTCATACAACTATTAGCACCAATAATAACCCCTACAACCTTGAACCCGCAAAGCCTCGTCCAAACAAGACAAACTCCAGCCATCGTCCCCGAAGACACAGCCACATGGAAACTAAGCCCAGTGTACAAAACTGGGCAGAAAACCATCCAGCGTCACGCAGGCCTGCAGCCCTCGGCCTAGGAAAGGTCCTGCAGGGCAAGAGGAAGAACAACCCCACAGGACAACTGAGTTCCACGGGAACTGACACAGAAACACAGAAGGTTGTCGGTGAGGCACGAAGCCGTGCCTGGCCTCACTCACAGCCCGACACAAACCAGGAGCAGGTGCTCGGGGCCTCTGCCATACCCAGGGCTGGGGGGCTGGGGGACTGGGGGGCTGCGGGGCTGGAGAGACCGCACCTCCCAGGCTGCTGCAGGGGCACAGGTGGCTTCCTGGGGGAGAGCGTGACAGTCTCTATCCAGCTTTATGTCTTCCCAGCACCCACCTCCAGGAGTCCAGGCCCCTGAGGACCTGCAAAACCATGCGCTGGGGTCACGGGAGCCGGAAGAAACCAGGACTTTGCGGGTTCTGACTTCAAGACCAGTGTTGTCGGCGTGATCCAAGTGGGGTCAGAACCCACAAAGTCCCGGGACCGCCAGCAGGACCGGAGGGGAAGGCACAGCCGTGGATCCGGGTGGGCTGGTAGCGAGCAGGCATGGTTCCATCCAGCACAAGGGGCCCACCAGACCCCCAGGATCCAGAGCTCCATGCTTGGGGGCCGGGGGCAAGCGCTCCAATGCCAGGCCTCCGCCCATCAACCCCGTCCTCTCCAGGCGTGAAGGACGGGACGAGTCTCTGTCCAGGCCCTGCCTATAGCTGACCGAGGGCCTGTCTGTCCCACGTGACAGCTGCAGCCTGGCCTCACTGAGCAGTGCCCCTCTCCCCGGGTCCCGACTGCTGATGTGTGGTTTCCAGCCGTGGGAAGGTGAGCCCATCTGGGGAGAGCACCCAAAACGGGAGGTGCTCAGAGGTGCACCCACCATGGCAACACCACTGAGGTGTGAGGTCCTGGACGGGGTCCCGGGCCGAGGAGGACACGGGACCATGGAGGACACGGAGATGCTGATGCCGGCTCTAGGGCAACACCCACACCCGTGTTACACGAGGTGTCCACAAGCAACACACGGGGCTCTGTGCTTTCTGTGATGTCCTGGCGATTCCAAAACCAAGCCTCCTTGACCACCCCGCAAGGCCTGGCAGCCCCCGCCACAATCGCCACCACCTTCTCCTCCCCACCTCCACCTCCACCTCCTGATCTCCCCCTCCACCCCCACCTCACGAGGCCACAGCCCTCCCGATCTCCACTTCCCCCTCCACCCCCACCTCACGAGGCCCACAGCCCTCCCGGGCCGCCCCCCACCTCCTCCCCACCTCCCCCCGGCCTCCTCCCCTCAAGCCCTCGGGACTCACCATCTCCACCACCTCCACCTCGGCGCTGATGCGCAAGTGATACAAGAACATCTGCAGGTCCTTCTTCATCTGGATGCTGTTGTCGTCCACCTGGGCCACGGTGAAGATACGCATCCGGCACTTCCTCCACACCTGCAGACAGGGAGGGCATGGCTGTGGGGCCTCAGAGGAGCCCGTCCCGGCCCGCAGCACGTGGGGTGGCCGTGCTCCGGCTGGCGTGTCCCCGTCGCACGCCCCACCTTGTGCTGGCGCAGCAGGAAGGGCAGCAGCATGAGCATGCCGCCGTCGTGCACGATCCACCACACGTCGATGTGGCCCCCGCCGAAGCGCTCCTGGTTTTGCGGAAACGAGTCGACGTTCTTGGCCACCAGCAGAGCCTGGTGCGCGGCGGTGGTGTCGCGGACGGTGTCTGCGGAGAGAGGCGGCCGTCCGCAGGTCATCTGAGGCCAGGGTGCGGAAGGGGCCTCCCCGGGGACTCACAGCCAGTGCAGGGGCGGGCACGGCGAGGCGAGGGGGGTCCCCACAAAGCCCCCACCCTCACTCCGTCAGCTCCTCCAAGGACCAGCCAGAGACTCACAGCAGAGTTCAGCTGCTGGTCATGTGTCCAGGGAATCCCCCAGCCCCTGCGGGGCTCTGGGAGAAGGGGAGGGAGTGCCTGGACACTTTCAGATGGCCGCTCCCAGGGCCAGGGCCTTCGACAGCCTCAGAGCACACACCCTCGGGTCGGTGGCCTCAAGGCCCATCGGGACCTGACAGCGCACAGGCCTGGGGACGTTGAGGGGACAGCGAGGAGACAGAGGGGACGGCGAGGAGACAGTGAAGGGATAGCGAGGAGACGGTGAAGGGACAGTGAGGGGACGGTGAGGGGACAGCGAGGAGACGGTGAAGGGACAGCAAGGGGACGGCGAGGAGACGGTGAAGGGACAGCAAGGGGACGGTGAGGGGACAGCGAGGAGACGGCGAGGGGACAGTGAGGGAACGGCGAGGGGACGGCGAAGCGACGGCGAGGAGATGGTGAGGGGACCGCGAGGGGACGGCGAGGAGATGGTGAGGGGACCGCGAGGGGACGGCGAGGAGATGGTGAGGGGACAGCGAGGGGACGGCGAGGAGATGGTGAGGGGACAGTGAGGGGACGGCGAGGAGATGGTGAGGGGACGGTTAGGGGACAGCGAGGGGATGGCAAAGGGATGCAGAGGAGACTGAGGGGACACGGGACAGTGAGGGGACAGCGAGGGGAGGCAGAGGGGGACAGTGAGGGGACAGCAAGGGGACACTGAGGAGACACACAGGGGACAGTGAGGGGACGGCGAGGGGATGCAGAGGGGACACCAAGGGGACAGTGGGGACGAAAAGGGGACAGTGAGGGGACAGTGAGAGGACAGCGAGGGGACAGCGAGGGGACACTGAGAGGACACAGAGGGGACGGTGAGGGGATGCCGAAGGGCCGCCAGCCATGCCTACCCACAAAGTTCTTCCAGGAGAAGGGGTTGTCCTCCTGCTTCCAGGATGCGGGCCAGGCCATGAGCACCGTGTTGTGCTTCAGGCCGCCCAGGCCGGCCGACTGGATCAGGTGGGACATGCCATCCCGCAGGCTGGACGAGACCACCAGCTGGCAGAAGCCCTTGGTCTTCTCTGTGCTCATTAGGGACCGTATGTTCTGCGGGAGACAGGACAGGTTGGTGCTACAGCAGGAATGGGGTGCACAGACCCACGCCCACCACCCACGGTGGCCAGGGCACCCGCACCACCTCCTCTGTGGACCCAGCAGGAGGGAAGGCCCGAAGGCTCAACGGTGTGCTGCGGTGCTCCCGGCCGCTGTGTGTGTATGTGTGTATGTGCGTGCTCACACACTGGGGAGAGAGACACAGAGCAGGTGTGACTGATGCCACGTGCAGGGGATGTGGAGGGCTGCTCTGGGGACACAACGCCAGGCAGTTCTCTGAGGCGATCCACAACATCCCAGACCCACCCCCAGTTCACTCGGACGCTCTGGGCCAGGTTCATCCACCTGGTGCATCAGAAACACCCGAAAATGGGCCAAATTAGCAGCTCTTCAAAGGGAGGCCGTGGGGTCCAGGATGCAGCACCCTAACAGCAACGGCGGGGGGCGGGGGTGGGGGACTGCCGTGTGGTCTCCTCCCGGGGTTGGAGGGGGTCACTGCTGTGTGCAGTCTCTTCCCAGGGGTGTCTGATGAGGCTGCACCACGGAACGGCTTGACTCCATGGGGTTTGCACGTGCGTGGCCGAGGACCTGCCACGCACTAAAGCCATGCATGTGTGGACGCAGGCCTCCCACCCTCTGACCTTCAGGCCCTGGAACCCCAGGGCCTGCCCTGCTGGGTCTCAGCCTTGTGTGGTACCAGTGGCCCCTTCCCACCTGATTCTCCCTTTTGGAGCAAACATGCCTCTCCTGGCTTGTCCCCTGCTGCGTTCTGGGATAACCACCTCCTCACTTGCACATCTACAGACACAGCAGTTTTGTCCAGGATGGACCAGACCCCACATTTCACTGGCTTCTGGTTTGGATGCTTAGAGGATGAGATTTGGGAGCTCCGAGCAATGAGATTTACATGAGAGTTGGGACTCAGAGCTGGTCTGTGCAGGCCTGAGACTTCAGGAGACACTGAGATGGGGTGAACATACTGTACATGTGTGGCAGATATGAATTTTAGGGCCGAGAGCTCAATTGCAGTGGGTTGAATAGTGGCCCCAAAAAAGAGGATACCCGCATCCCAGCCCCAGGAACCTGAGAATGCAACCTTATTTGGAAAACCTGTCTTTATGGATGTATTGAAGAACCCTATAATTAGGTTATGATGTTGAGAGAGCATCCTGGGTCAGAGGTGGGCCCTGAAGCCACTGACAAGTGACCTTACAGGATGAAGGCAGGAAGAGCTCTCAGACTGGGAGGAAGAGACTGCGTGGAGGCACAGGCGCCCAGGGTCGCCCGGGGGCCCAGGAGCTGGAGGAGGCAGGAGGATCCTCCCGGGAGACTCTGGAGGCAGCGTGGCCTGCGGTCTCCTTCATCTCAGACTCCTGGGCTCCAGAACTAGGAGAGAACAGACGCCCTTTGCTGTGAGCCGTGTGGTCTGTGTCCCATCACAGCAGCCCCGGGCCACTCAGGGATCAGAGCCACCACCTGCCTCCTTTGCCGAGATTCCAGCAGCCCCTACGTCAGCCTGACTGGTATCCTCACCCCCTACCCTGGCTCACACCTAGAGCTCCACCAGCCCTTCACACACAAAACAACATCCAATGTTCTCCCACGGCCCCACTCCTCCTCAGGCACCCCTCGTCCTTACCCTGCTCTCCAGACACCTCCACCTTCTGCCCAGCTGCCCGGGCGCAAGACGGGACAGGGTGCAGGGCCAGCAGATATGCTCCTCTTTGAGACTTTTGTTTAGGTCAGGAAAGGCCTGAACACGTTACCCCCAAGGGGCACCAGCCAGCAAGCGGAGGCAGGGGCCCCAGAGAGGCAGAGACCGGCTGGAGGCGGACGCTGCGGGGTGGACACAGCCGTCTCTGGGCAGGAAGGCACAGGGAAGCACCCGCATCGGGCGTCATGTGGGAAGAAGGCAGGAAGTGTGGCTATTTCAGCAAAGGCCACACAGCAGCCCCTTTATGCGGCTGCTTCTCATCCCCACGAGACCCCTCTGCAGGGCAATTCAGGTTCTCTGTTCTTGTGCCCCGATCTGGCCGGAGAACGGAGCCCAGGGAAACGGCTGTTCAGGATCAGCCAAGTTTGGATGCAGCCACTGGAGGGGCCCTGAGGGCCTCCAAGTGCTGGAGCCACGTCACGGGGCCACTTCCTACATGACTGGCTGCTGTGCTCACCCCCACGTGCTGGCTCCGAGGAGTCGGAGCTGGGGATCTCAACTCTCTTCTGGCCTCACTGTTGGGAAAACCACCTTGCAGGACTGCAGGGTTTCAGGAGGACGCGGCACTGCCCTGGCCTGGCAGGAACTCAACACTGTGTGGGGAGACCCTGTTATCACAAGTCAGCACCGTGTCGGGGACCCTGTTATCACAAGTCAGCACCGTGTCGGGGACCCTGTTATCACAAGTCAGCACCGTGTCGGGGACCCTGTTATCACAAGTCCCCGCACCTGCCCGGCGCAGCAGTCGCAGAGGCCTCCGTGCAGACAGACCTCAACCCGGAGGACAACTTTACGAGCGGGGAGCAAGAACACCAGGGCCTTAGGACCCCTTTTATGCCAATCAGTGCCACACAGAACAGAGCACAAGGGCGCGCATGAGCCTCCCTGGCGACTGCATGAGTCACGAAGCTGCACGCTTCTTAGAGAAATGTCCATGCTTTACAGCCTTGCCCAGACCGGCTGCCGTGGCTCACACCTGTAATCCCAGCACTTTGGGAGGCCGAAGCAGACGAATCACTTGAGCTCAGGAGTTCGAGACCAGACTGGCCAATGTGGCGAAACCCCGTCTCTACTAAAAATACAAAAATGAGCCGGGCGTGGTGGTGGGCACCTGTAATCCCAGCTACTGGGAGGCTGAGGCAGGAGAACTGCTTCAACTCGGGAGATGGAGGTTGCAGTGAGCTGAGACGGCGCCACTGCACTGCAGCCTGGGCAACAGAGGGAGACTCTGTCTCAAAAAATAAATAAAAATTAAAAAACAAATAAATAAAAAAGATTTGCCCAGATTTCTCTAATTTCACACTAACATAGCCACGATGGAGGAGAATACGGCTCCCCAGGGCAGTGCAGCCCCAAAGGCAGCCAAGGGAAGGCGGGGCCTGCGGCTGGCTCCAGCCCTCGCAACCAATGCAGCTAAGTCACAGCCAAAGGCTCGCTGAGAGCAGCGGGGGCAGGGTGCGCTCGTCCTCCCGTCCGCAAGAGCGGGCTCCTGTCTGAGGCTGCCCCAGACCCCCCAGCCGAAGGGCTGTCGGACGGAGAGGATCTGCCTGTGAGCTCCGTTAACGTGAGAGTATAAGTGAGCGCAGCTCTTCCCATGGCCGTGAAGACTGTGGCAGAGCGTGGCAGGGGGTCCCGTCATCCCCCAGTCACTGCAATCCCTGCCCTGTCCCTCGTGCGCACAGACGCGCCCTCACACACCTCCAGGGAGGCCAGGCAGTGCCAGGATTCTTAGAATCCACGCCAGCAGGGCAGTTCCAACTCCGGGATTCCTCCTAAGAGCATTCCAGCATGGGATAAGGAACACGGAAAGGGACATATGGGGACCAGGACCGTGAACATCCCCCCGAAAACCACGATACCTAAATCCACGGGTTCACAGTCAATAGCAGCTAACGCCTGAACCCGTGGTGAGCCATGACGCCGCCGTCAGGGAAAGGGAAGGCCCAGAGCATCTCCTGTCTTCCCTGGGAAGGCGAACCTGTGCAACAGCCTGAGAAGGTGGCCATCCACGTGGCCAACGTGGCGGGAGCGGCGGGGGCCATTTTTTACCTCCATGGGATCCTGGCCCTAGGCCACACCACCTGAGGCTGCTACCATCCACGTGCCCACAGCCCTCTTGAGCAGGGTTCCCACCCCTAGGCTGACCGGCCCAGACCTGGACGGGCCTCAGTGCGGCTGTGGTTGTGCAGAGAAACGGACCGGGGAGGCGGTGGGGGGCGGCTGCAGATGCCTGGACACACCCACAAGGTCCCAGTGGGGGCCTGGCAGCAGGGAGCTGGCTCCCAACCCACAGCAAGGACAGAGGGGGCACCCGCATGGGAGGGACCTCGGACACACACCACTGCAACAGGCACGTGGTATAGGCCCCACAGACTCCCACACACATGAGGGGGAAGGAGGAGGCTCGAGGCGCCCACGGCAGCCAGCCCTGCCTGGGAATGAGGTGCCCTTGGCATGAAAATCACGCAGGTGGGCACTCAAAAGCTCCCTGCTTTAGCAAGAAATACAGAAGTAACTCCAGGTGACGTGACGTGACGTGACGTGATGGGACCCCACAGGCTTTCATCGTGTCATCATTCCGTTTCTGGATAGTGTGAAGCTTCCCATAAGAAGTTTGAAAATCAGAGAAATGAAGACACAAAGTCTCAGACCCCGATGTCCTGGGGCAGCCGACTGCAGCAGCAGGGCTCAGAGCTGGCACCAGCATGCTACACGCCCGGGGCACTCACCCGTCCCTCCCCACAAAGCTCTGAGTGGGCAGAAATTCAGCAGCACACGGCATCACACTTAACGCAGCCCCCAGTGAGCCCCCAGCACACGGCATCACACTTATGCAGCCCCCAGTGAGCCCCCAGCACACGGGCATCACACTTATGCAGCCCCCAGTGAGCCCCCAGCACACGGGCATCACACTTATGCAGCCCCCAGTGAGCCCCCAGCACACGGGCATCACACTTATGCAGCCCCCAGTGAGCCCCCAGCACACGGGCATCACACTTATGCAGCCCCCAGTGAGCCCCCAGCACACGGGCATCACACTTATGCAGCCCCCAGTGAGCCCCCAGTGAGCCCCCAGCACACGGGCATCACACTTATGCAGCCCCCAGTGAGCCCCCAGTGAGCCCCCAGCACACGGGCATCACACTTATGCAGCCCCCAGTGAGCCCCCAGCACACGGGCATCACACTTATGCAGCCCCCAGTGAGCCCCCAGTGAGCCCCCAGCACACGGGCATCACACTTATGCAGCCCCCAGTGAGCCCCCAGTGAGCCCCCAGCACACGGCATCACACTTATGCAGCCCCAGTGAGCCCCCAGCACACGGGCATCACACTTATGCAGCCCCCAGTGAGCCCCCAGCACACGGCATCACACTTATGCAGCCCCAGTGAGCCCCCAGTGAGCCCCCAGCACACGGGCATCACACTTATGCAGCCCCAGTGAGCCCTCAGTGAGCCCCCAGCACACGGGCATCACACTTATGCAGCCCCAGTGAGCCCCCAGTGAGCCCCCAGCACACGGGCATCACACTTATGCAGCCCCAGTGAGCCCCCAGCACACGGGCATCACACTTATGCAGCCCCCAGTGAGCCCCCAGCACACGGGCATCACACTTATGCAGCCCCCAGTGAGCCCCCAGCACACGGGCATCACACTTATGCAGCCCCCAGTGAGCCCCCAGTGAGCCCCCAGCACACGGCATCACACTTATGCAGCCCCCAGTGAGCCCCCAGCACACGGCATCACACTTATGCAGCCCCAGTGAGCCCCCAGTGAGCCCCCAGCACACGGGCATCACACTTATGCAGCCCCAGTGAGCCCCCAGCACACGGGCATCACACTTATGCAGCCCCCAGTGAGCCCCCAGTGAGCCCCCAGCACACGGCATCACACTTATGCAGCCCCCAGTGAGCCCCCAGCACACGGGCATCACACTTATGCAGCCCCAGTGAGCCCCCAGCACACGGGCATCACACTTATGCAGCCCCCAGTGAGCCCCCAGCACACGGGCATCACACTTATGCAGCCCCCAGTGAGCCCCCAGCACACGGGCATCACACTTATGCAGCCCCCAGTGAGCCCCCAGCACACGGGCATCACACTTATGCAGCCCCCAGTGAGCCCCCAGTGAGCCCCCAGCACACGGGCATCACACTTATGCAGCCCCAGTGAGCCCCCAGCACACGGCATCACACTTATGCAGCCCCAGTGAGCCCCCAGTGAGCCCCCAGCACACGGGCATCACACTTATGCAGCCCCAGTGAGCCCCCAGTGAGCCCCCAGCACACGGGCATCACACTTATGCAGCCCCCAGTGAGCCCCCAGTGAGCCCCCAGCACACGGGCATCACACTTATGCAGCCCCAGTGAGCCCCCAGTGAGCCCCCAGCACACGGGCATCACACTTATGCAGCCCCAGTGAGCCCCCAGTGAGCCCCCAGCACACGGCATCACACTTATGCAGCCCCCAGTGAGCCCCCAGCACACGGGCATCACACTTATGCAGCCCCCAGTGAGCCCCCAGCACACGGGCATCACACTTATGCAGCCCCCAGTGAGCCCCCAGTGAGCCCCCAGCACACGGGCATCACACTTATGCAGCCCCAGTGAGCCCCCAGTGAGCCCCCAGCACACGGGCATCACACTTATGCAGCCCCAGTGAGCCCCCAGCACACGGCATCACACTTATGCAGCCCCAGTGAGCCCCCAGTGAGCCCCCAGCACACGGGCATCACACTTATGCAGCCCCAGTGAGCCCCCAGTGAGCCCCCAGCACACGGGCATCACACTTATGCAGCCCCCAGTGAGCCCCCAGTGAGCCCCCAGCACACGGGCATCACACTTATGCAGCCCCAGTGAGCCCCCAGTGAGCCCCCAGCACACGGGCATCACACTTATGCAGCCCCAGTGAGCCCCCAGTGAGCCCCCAGCACACGGCATCACACTTATGCAGCCCCCAGTGAGCCCCCAGCACACGGGCATCACACTTATGCAGCCCCCAGTGAGCCCCCAGCACACGGGCATCACACTTATGCAGCCCCCAGTGAGCCCCCAGTGAGCCCCCAGCACACGGGCATCACACTTATGCAGCCCCAGTGAGCCCCCAGTGAGCCCCCAGCACACGGGCATCACACTTATGCAGCCCCCAGTGAGCCCCCAGTGAGCCCCCAGCACACGGGCATCACACTTATGCAGCCCCAGTGAGCCCCCAGCACACGGGCATCACACTTATGCAGCCCCCAGTGAGCCCCCAGCACACGGGCATCACACTTATGCAGCCCCCAGTGAGCCCCCAGCACACGGGCATCACACTTATGCAGCCCCCAGTGAGCCCCCAGTGAGCCCCCAGCACACGGGCATCACACTTATGCAGCCCCAGTGAGCCCCCAGCACACGGGCATCACACTTATGCAGCCCCCAGTGAGCCCCCAGCACACGGGCATCACACTTATGCAGCCCCCAGTGAGCCCCCAGCACACGGGTATCACACTTATGCAGCCCCCAGTGAGCCCCCAGCACACGGGCATCACACTTATGCAGCCCCCAGTGAGCCCCCAGCACACGGGCATCACACTTATGCAGCCCCCAGTGAGCCCCCAGCACACGGGCATCACACTTATGCAGCCCCCAGTGAGCCCCCAGCACACGGGCATCACACTTATGCAGCCCCCAGTGAGCCCCCAGCACACGGGCATCACACTTATGCAGCCCCCAGTGAGCCCCCAGCACACGGGCATCACACTTATGCAGCCCCCAGTGAGCCCCCAGCACACGGGCATCACACTTATGCAGCCCCCAGTGAGCCTGAACAGCGGGAGACTGAGCTTGCAGCAGAACCATGATTACGGCTCTGGACGGGGCTCACCCATGGCGGGAGGAGGCGGTCCCAGGGTTCGCCCTTGGAAAGCTAATGGCCCTCACACCTCCCAAGCTTCCCGGGGTGCGGCTGGTGCTCCCAGGCCTTAGCGCGCTGCTCTGAGCTCAAAGCCACCGCCACGGCTAAAACACAGCAGCGCCACGCACAGCACCGTGTTGACACGCTGCGATGAGGACATGCCAGGGCATGTTTCCTGTGCAGCTGGGGTGGGAAAGAGGCCTGGCCCCCAGACCCCGCCCGGCCCACCTCCTCGGCCCGCTGAGCCTCCATGTGCTTGTCCAGGTACGTCCCCTCCAGCACCGAGCCCACGATGGTCAGGCCCTTGCCGGCCTTCAGCTGCGACGTGAAGGACAGCAGGCGGGGGTGCTTCACGGCCTGCTCCGCGTCCAGGTTCAGCATCACCAGCACCTGGGGCCTGCAGCCAGGGTGGGGCGGCTGTTACCACGGCAACGCTTACCAGGGCACGGCCCATCAACAGGCAGGGCAGATGGGACGGGCGGGGCACACGACACAGGTGGGACGGGAGATACATGACAGGCGGGACAGGGGACAAAAGGGGCAGGTGACAGATGGGATGGGGAAACGTGACACACGTGGGGTAAGTTGAACAGGTGACAGGTGAGACAGGCCACAGAAGCCAGGTGGGACAGGCAGGGCCGATGGACAGGTGGGCACTAGCCAGGCAGGACAGGAGAACAGGTAGGTTAGACAGGTGGGACAGGTGACATGCTAGACAGGTGAGACAATGGCCCAGGACACACACCTGAAGCCCCCACCGAGGCCCTGAGGGGACAATGGCCCGGGGCACACCCGAGGCCCCCGCCGAGGCCCCTGAGGGGACAATGGCCCGGGGCACACGCCTGAGGCCCCCGCCGAGGCCCTGAGGGGCAGAGGCTTCCCAAAGATGGCCTTTGCTTCAGCAGGAGCCACCCTCTCCCACCCCAAGCCCAGGGCTGTGCTGGCAGAGGGGCCGGCTCCCCACACCCCCACCCTGCAGCAGGGACACCCCCGGCCCCCAGCTGCGCCATCCGCTCTGCACCAGGCAGTGTTCACACCCCAGACCTTGCCTGAGCGGCTGAAGGTGAGAGGCCCCTGAGACTCAAAGGTCCCCACTCAAAGGCCGACCTCAGAAACAGCTCTTCTGTGCGTCTGAGGACCACGGGGCATGGGCGGTGCTCACCTCCAGTTCTTGGTGTGGGGGGGACCGTGCTCCACGCGCAGCAGGGCGTAGCGGGCGGCGTTCAGGGATAGGCCACGGATGCCATCGCCCCACTCCTTCTCGGCCCTGTGGGAAAGGAAGTCGGGGTTTGTCCAGCCGCGTACCTGGAGGCTCCTCTCCCACCTGGGAAAGGGGACTTCTGGGGGCAGGTGAGTTGGGGCAAACAGGACCCCCAGGAAAAGTCCCTGGATGAGGAGGGAGGCCTCCATGCCCACCCTTGCCCTGAAGGGAGCCCGTCCTAGGAGCCACCGGGTCAGAGGGTGCTGTGGCTGTGGAGGGAACGAGGTCTACGTCCAGCATGCGTGAGGTGCCTTCCTCACAGGACGGGGGGCAGGAGGCCCATGACAGGGAAGTGGCTGGACCCCGGGCACGAGGCGGGTGCAGGTGGAGGGAGGGTGGGTGCTGGGGCACGGGGAAGGACGCCTGTGGCTGCCGAGTGAGTACAGACACAACCTGGGGACACCTCGCGAGACACGTAGCAGGAATAGTCAGCCGTGGGCTCACCGCCTGCTGAGGACGGCACGAGACAGAGCTCCAGGCTGGAGACCCTGTCCACAAGTGCAGGCACCTCGGCCTGGCTGGAAGTGGGAGGGAAACCCCAGCTTTCACAACACAGCCCACCTGGACGTGCTCCCAGCTGCCCCTGTGAGGGCACACGACGCTCAAGCCCCAGGGAGGCCCCTCCAGGGAGCTGCCCCAGGCATAGCATGAGAGGGGCCCGCCCTCCCGTGCGCCGGGTCTGTAAGGGGGGCTGACAGCGCTTACCCGCGGTACTCGATGTACTTGTAGATGCAGCCAGCGATGAGCATGGCGGACAGCGCGTAGTACCAGGAGCAGATGAACATCAGCGCCAGGCACAGGCTCATACCCAGAAAGGACAGGGTCCTGGGGGCGGGGCAAGTGGCTCGGGGCGGCCCAACGCCATGCAGCCCCCACACCTCAGCCACCACCACACGGACACTGCCCCTCCCTCAGTAAAACTCTCTGTTAACACTAGGAAAACAGTCACTGACGCCTGACGACCATGGCTGTACTCAACCACCTCTGAGGGGTGACGTGGCTCCCTGGGCCCCTGTGGGAGCTGTCACTCCAAAACCCAGTACATAGCTCCAGCTCCCAGCGTGCACACAGCACCTCGGCTGTGCATGCAACAAGGGGCTGAAGCGTCCACCCAGCGCCTGATTCCTGGGGAGGGGAGTTAAGAAGACCCACAGCCCTGATGGGCTACGCCCCAAGCCTGGGAAGGCTGGGCTGACCACGGGAGGTACAAGGCACATGCAGACACCTGGGCATCCTCGTAACCAGAGGCCTTCCTCAGGTGCAGTCTCATCAGCTGCGCAGGGGCTTACTCCGCAAAGGAACAGTCAAGGACGCGCTGGGGTCTTCAGGCCCAGAGCAGCTGGCCTTGCAGAGGCACCCAGTGTCCCAGCCTGTGGGGCTCCTGACGCCTGTGCTGAGCGGCCTCACCAGTGGCAGAGGCACCCAGTGTCCCAGCCTGTGGGGCTCCTCACGCCCGTGCTGAGTAGCCTCACCAGTGGTAGAACTTGAAGCGTGGACGCCAGTTGGGGGTACGTAGCAGGGTCTGCACGGCGCAGGCCAGGTTCACGAACAGGTAGCACATGAGGAAGAACCTGCAGGGACGGCCGGCCACTGATACGGGCCCACTGGGCCCCCCTGAGCCCCCAGTCACTGCCACCTGGGAGACCACCCTTGTCACTGTCCCTCCCACCTGCGCCTTTTCTCCCCATGTCTGTCTCTGCACGTGAGCTGACTCAGACTGATTCCGAATCAGGCCCCCTCAGGTTCCAGCCATCCTGTGACCACCTGGTCCATCAAGAGATGGGCCATCGTCCCTTCCCCAGCAGCCGTCTGTCCAGCCACACTGTCCCTGGCTGACCCCAGCGGGCGGCTGCCTGGAGGCCTGTGTACTTGTCTTCCCCGGCGCAACTCCCTTCCCGGCAGGATCCTGACTGCCCACAGCTGGCCATGCCTGTCTACTGCTTGTCCTGAGCAGGACCTCCCATCCACACTGCCCCACGCTCCAGGCCCATACACCCATCCCCAGGTCCCCGTCCTGTGGGGGCTCACATGGAGAGGATCGGGGCCACGCTGTCCAGAGAGGCGATGAGGATGCCAGTCTCGCAGATGAGGACTGTCAGCAGCAGCGCCCACGTGGGCTCCCCGTTGGCCTTCCCGTGGCCAAACACCTGCAGGGAGAAGGGCAGGAAGATGGGGCAGATGACACCACCCTTTTAGGAGAGAAGCTGCAGGCTGGTCAGGTCTAGCCCAGATGAATCTTAAAGACACAGACCAGCAGAAACGCCTTTCACAGTAGGTCCCCGGGACATCACGCGGCTGGCCTGGGAAGAAGCCCTGACAAAGGGCTGCAGCCCAGGAGGCTTCAGAGCTGTGCCTACGCCCGGCTTGCCTGCAACCTGTGTGGCCCCAGCCTGCCCCCCCCCGCCTCAGTTTCCCCGACCACACAACACAGGACCAGCGTCTCCAGGGCACTCGCGGTTCCCCAGACCCTGTGGTGACCTTTCTCATCAGGCCACCCTCACCTCCCAGAAGCTGAGGCCCACGGGGCCTGTGTGCCTGTCCCCTTCCTGGACACCATGCCCTAGGCCCGGCTGGGACTGAAGATGCAACCACACAAAGGCCCTGCGGGTCGGCACCCTGCCGAGGGACCAGCGACGGGCAAGGATGGCTCTGCCATCCACGACCTTCCCACAGCTGCCCCTGGGCCCAGGTAGCAGGAGGAGCCACAATCGGCAGCTCTGGGCACAGCACACGGACAGGACCCATGCGGGCGTCCGTGCAATCCTCAGAGCAGCCACACACACTGGCTGCAGGTGGCTGGTGACGCCACCTCCCACGGGCTGAAGAGCTCAGCCACACAGAGAAAGATGTGGCAGGCAGGCAGAGGGCTTCTGACCAGACAACAGACCAGGCACCTCTGGATACGTGGCTGTGGGCCCTCACAGCCGCTCCTGACACACCCGGGGCCGAGCTCGGAGGGACCTGCAGGCAGGAGGGCTAGAATTGCCTCTGCCCACCACCCACCTCCCACCACTCCCATGCTCTGTGCAGTGGCCAGGGGCAGAATGACCACCATGGGGTCCAAGCCGCGGGCATGCGTCCCACACACGGCACTGTGAGGATCCCGCAGGGGAGGAGAGCCCCCGACCCTGACCTTCCAGGGTCCCCCCGACGAGGGTGCGGGACTCACCTGCAGGAAGGGGACGATGCCGTCACGGGCAATGGCCTGCAGTAGGCGCGGTGCCCCCGTGAGGCTCTGCAGGCCGGCACCGCAGGTGGAGAAGAAGGAGCCGATGACGATGACCCAGGGGGAGGGCCAGGCCAGCATGCCGATGACCAGGTTCCCCTGCAGGGCCTCCCCGAACCTGCAGGCAGGCGGGCAGGCGGGCGGGCGGCTTTCAGAAGTGAGCCTGAGTCAGACAAAATGTCTTCTCCCACCCAGAGCGAGGGGCCCAGTGCAGTGGGGGCGACTCCTTGGAAAGCTGAGGCCCGGCCTCCAGTCCCCGTTGGCTGAAACCTCCACCAGGCTCTGCCCAGCATGGCCAGAATGCTCTGGAGGGTCTTCAGCGGGGGAGGGGGTCCTGCTCACCTCAGGGTCGCTCTTGGGAGCAGGGAAGACCCAGCCTGGCATCAGCTTCAGTCAGGGACCACCCAGGACCCCCGGGGCCTTGGGGCTGCCAGACACGCACACCCCATGAGGATGCAGGGTCAGTGATGACCTGCCTGGGACCCCACTACTTCTCCACTTGGCAGCAGGGCTGAGGGATCTCCCAGGGCCAAGCCTCACCCGTCCACACCCCTGTGGCCTCCCCAGGAAGGGCCTGCGCCCCCAGCCGCATCAGGGCTTGGAGTTGGCTCTGAACGGTTCCCCAGGCCCTAGGCTCCAGCGGAAGAGACGACACATCAGACCAAGGGATCCCAACCCTGGGACCAGGACGCCTTCAGCTCTGCACGCGGACATGAAGTCCTAGGGCGATGTAATTTCAAAGCCGAATTCATCCTCAGGAAAACCCTTGAAGACTACAGGCTTTGCACGAAAACTGCAGGTGGAAACGTACTTATCTCGTAAGACCACGCCTTCAATGCAGGCCCCAAACAGCACAATGCAGGAGAGATCCACAGCCCTCGTCAAGGAAAGGCGGGTCCGTGGGTGCAGGGTCCTCAGGTACGGGGGGTGGGGTGGGGTGGGGTGGGGTGGGTGGGGAGATGCACTGGCCAGCGGGCCGCAGGATCCAGGTGGGCGGGGACCGTTCTGCATCCCATCCCATCCCGGGCACGTCCTGTCCCCCGTGTCCTCAGCGCACCCTCCTGGGGCTCTGTCCAGCGCCACAGAACGGGGCCCTGGGGTGGTGGACACACACCTGGCCTGGTGCTTGACCGCCAGGGATTGGCAGGGGACCATGCTGAGGGGACAATGCTCGGCTGGAAAGAGGCAGCCTTGGGATTGAGAAGCCAGAGGCCCCGCGGGCCCAGCCTGCCGGCGGCACACCCCACACACCGCTGCGCATCACTGTCCACACGCGGCAGGGTGACTGCTTCTGTTTTCTCTACGATCGCATCACACAGTGGTGAAGAAGCCAGGGTCCTGACAGCAGCCCTTGCCCCGTCTCCCAGGGAGGATGACGTGGTGAGAGCACAGCCTAACCTGGGAAGTCACATGCTGGTGGCCGAGGGTATGATGCTGAGCCGGGGAGGGCATGGGGGCCTCCCCCCAGGCAGAGGCTGGAACCCTCGCCTGCACCCCTCCAAGGATACAGATGAAAGACGTCGTCACTATGGCCAGGATGGTCCCCGTGGGGATGGACTTCTGTGCATCCTTGAGGTCCCCGGACCGGTTTGAACCCGCCATGATACCTGTGAACATGGAAAATGCTGCAAAGACCCATCTGAGGAGTCAGTGCCATGTGATGGCAGCCCCTGCCCAGAAAGCTGGAAAGGCGGTCTCTGGGGAGACCCCGAGCGTGAGCTGCAGCCGAGGCTGCAGTCCAAGCTCCGCCAGCCCACGCTGCAATACTGCGGCTGAGGGGATGCGGGCCCAGGCACGCGGATGAGCACCCACGTCTACTGCTCCCCTGGATCCGAGGACGAGAACCGACCCCGTCACTGACCCCCACGCCCCCCACACCCAGGGCTTCTCTGGAGCCTGTGTTAATCCCATGGCCAAGGGTCAGCCCAGAGACGGTGCTGAGCAATGGCTCACAGGCCCCCAGGACCTAAGGACTTTGGGAATGAGATCCTAGAACGACTCAGCCCAGCCAGCCAGGCCAGCAGACGCTGCGACCCCTCCCGCTGTGGCACCACCTTGCTCTAGGGAGCCACGGCCGGGGATGTTTCCACACAATCGGCTCCTACAAAGCTCTGGGAAGCCGGGTCGGTGGGGGCCACTTGACGCCTGGCTCGGTCCCATCCAAGGCGCAGCCTGAAGCACCCATTGCTCGGGGTGGCCTGGGAGGCAGCAGAGCCCACAATCCAGTGCCGCGGAGACACCCGGAGCCACGCAGAGGCTCTGCCCCCACGCCCTCCACCCGCGGCTCAGAGACACCCGGAGCCACGCAGAGGCTCTGCCCCCACGCCCTCCACCCGCGGCGCGGAGTGCACGCAGACGGACGGGGGAGGCTGGAGCGGAGGTACAGGGAGAGGACCCCCGGCAGATCACCCCCTCCATAGCAAGACGGGCCCACCTTCAGTGGAGGCAAGGGAAACACGAGAAGCCAGCGCTGTGGCCAGGCCCTGCAGCTGACCCTGGGCTCCAGGGCTTTCGGATGTGCTGAGATGAAGTCCGGGAGCAGACGTGGGAGGGACCAGAAGGGACCAGAAGGGCAGCTGCAGGCTGCACAAGCAGCCAGCGCCTGTCAGGGGCGTCCCGACAAGAAGGCCGAGTGGAGACAGCCGGGGGCGTGTGTGTGCGACTCGAAGAGCACGGGGCCTGGCCCCACCCCCTGGGGAACAACCAAGGGCCCCACCCACCGCCGGAACAAGGCCCACTGTTTGAGGAGGACACAGAGGGCCGAGGTCCCCGGCCTCTGAGCTCACACTGAGGCCACTCCTAGGTGTCTCCTAACAGCCTGCCAGGTGTTCCCAGCAACCCTACAACAGCTTCTCCTGACACAGGGCTGCCTGGGAGAGCAGCAGACAGGCTTCTCACAAATCCATCAGGACGCAGGGCAGAGACCTCAGCCACTTCCCCTGAGCCAAACAGGCAAGATAAGCAGGGGCAGGAAGGAACACACTACAGAGAGAGAGACAGAGAGAGAGACAGACAGACAGACAGAGAGAGAGAGAGGGAGGGAGGGAAGAAGAGGGAGACAGAGAGAGAGAGAGAGAGACAGAGAGAGAGGGAAAAGGGTAGGGGGAGAGAGAGAGTGCCGGAGGAGAGAATGACAGAGACAGAGAAATGGACAAAGACAAAGGAAGAGAAAGAAGGAAGCCAGGCGTGGTGGCTCAAGACGTCTGTAATCCCAGCACTTTGGGAGGCTGAGGATGGCTTGAGCTCAGGAGTTTGAGACCAGCCTGAGCAACGTGGGGAGACCCCCGTCTACAAAAAATACAGACATTAACCGGGCGTGGTACCGTGTGCCTGGGGTCCCGGCTGCCCCCCTCTACAAAAAATACAGATATTAGCCGGGCGTGGTACTGGGTGCCTGGGGTCCCAGCTGCTTGGGAGACTCAGGTGGGAGGAATATTTGTGTCTAGGAGTTGAGGCTGCAGTGAGCCGTGATCACACCACTGCCCTCCAGCCTGGGTGACAGAGCAAGACCTTGCCTCAAAAAAGAGAGGGAGAGAAAGAAAGAGAAGGGGAAGCCTGGAGCAGCGGGCTCACCGGTCACGGAAGGGAAGTAGATGCCAACCAGCAGGGTGAAGGAGGCCGCGATGTCGGTGAGCACGTAGGGCAGTGTGCTGGCACGGCTCTCCTCTGCCACGGGCACCGAGGGCACACCTTTCTTCTCCACA
Organism: Homo sapiens; assembly: GCF_000001405.40. Taxonomy (NCBI): domain Eukaryota; kingdom Metazoa; phylum Chordata; class Mammalia; order Primates; family Hominidae; genus Homo; species Homo sapiens. The sequence continues at coordinate 99,423 of NT_187548.1, forward strand.
AACGCCCCCGCGTGCGCGTACGTACTCCACAGGTTCTCTGCCGGGCAAGGAAGATCCCATGGGTTTCTGGCACCTTCTGTGCAGTGCCCCCGCCATGGGGCCGCCCACTCCCCGGCAGGTGCCACTGGTGGCCGGAGGGGAAGGGTCACAGCTTGTGCGCCGCAAGCAGGCTCCAATTCAAACACGCTTTCGAGATGGTACCTCTGGGAAAGCTGCCTGTCTGCCTCTACGGAGGGAAGGTCAGCACTAAAGAGAAGCCTCATGTGGGGAACAACATACTCCTGGAAAGCCTGGGCTTCCCGTCTCGGGTTCTGGAAAGTCCAGGCTTCCCGTCTCGGGTTCTGGAAAGCCTGGGCTTCCTCTCTAGGGTTCTGGAAAGTCCGGGCTTCCCCGTCTCGGGTTCTGGGGAAGTCCGGGCTTCCCGTCTCAGGTTCTGGAAAGTCCGGGCTTCCCGTCTCGGGTTCTGGAAAGTCCGGGCTTCCTCTCTAGGGTTCTGGAAAGCCTGGGCTTCCTCTCTAGGGTTCTGGAAAGTCCGGGCTTCCCCGTCTCGGGTTCTGGAAAGCCTGGGCTTCCTCTCTAGGGTTCTGGAAAGTCCGGGCTTCCCCGTCTCGGGTTCTGGAAAGCCTGGGCTTCCTCTCTAGGGTTCTGGAAAGTCCGGGCTTCCCGTCTCGGGTTCTGGAAAGTCCAGGCTTCCCGTCTCGGGTTCTGGAAAGTCCAGGCTTCCCGTCTCGGGTTCTGGAAAGCCTGGGCTTCCCATCTTGGGTTCTGGAAAGCCTGGGCTTCCTCTCTAGGGTTCTGGAAAGTCCGGGCTTCCCCGTCTCGGGTTCTGGGGAAGTCCGGGCTTCCCGTCTCAGGTTCTGGAAAGTCCGGGCTTCCTGTCTCGGGTTCTGGAAAGTCCGGGCTTCCTCTCTAGGGTTCTGGAAAGCCTGGGCTTCCTCTCTAGGGTTCTGGAAAGTCCGGGCTTCCCCGTCTCGGGTTCTGGAAAGCCTGGGCTTCCTCTCTAGGGTTCTGGAAAGTCCGGGCTTCCCATCTCGGGTTCTGGAAAGCCTGGGCTTCCCATCTCAGGTTCTGGAAAGTCCAGGCTTCCCGTCTTGGGTTCTGGAAAGCCTGGGCTTCCCGTCTCAGGTTCTGGAAAGTCCAGGCTTCCCGTCTTGGGTTCTGGAAAGCCTGGGCTTCCCGTCTCGGGTTCTGGAAAGTCCAGGCTTCCCGTCTCGGGTTCTGGAAAGCCTGGGCTTCCCGTCTCGGGTTCTGGAAAGCCTGGGCTTCCCGTCTCGGGTTCTGGAAAGCCTGGGCTTCCTCTCTAGGGTTCTGGAAAGTCCAGGCTTCCCATCTCAGGTTCTGGAAAGCCTGGGCTTCCCGTCTCAGGTTCTGGAAAGTCCAGGCTTCCCGTCTTGGGTTCTGGAAAGCCTGGGCTTCCTCTCTAGGGTTCTGGAAAGTCCGGGCTTCCCCATCTCGGGTTCTGGAAAGTCCGGGCTTCCTCTCTAGGGTTCTGGAAAGCCTGGGCTTCCTCTCTAGGGCTCTGGAAAGCCTGGGCTTCCTGTCTTGGGTTCTGGAAAGCCTGGGCTTCCCGTCTCGGGTTCTGGAAAGTCCGGGCTTCCCGTCTCGGGTTCTGGAGCAGGTCTCGTGTACCCTGCCAGGGGTCCTTTTCCCTCAACCCCCTGGGGCAGGTCCGAGGCAGCCTCTCATCAGAGAAGGATACACAGAGGGGGAAGCTACCGCCCAGCTACCACTCCCTTCTTAACACAGCAAGTTCCCCATACATGCTGCCAGGAGGTCATGAAAATAAATCCATAGCATTAAGACCAGCTTGCTGACCATGACGGAGGCTGTCTCCCTGCCACACCGTGTTTGGCTTCTATGGCTCTGCCAGGGGTGTGTACAGGGACCCCCAGGCTCATCAGCAGCAGCTGGGAAGGGGCTCGGCCAGGCAGGAGGAATTGGGGCCCTGAGAGTGACTCTAAGGCGAGAGCAGCCACCAGGGCCAGCGCCTGCTGCCCCCGCCACCCCCCAGCTCCAGCTGCAGCCCTGTGAGCCTCACCCAGGAAGACACCACTGGCCGCGCCCGGGATGCCCTGGATTTCGGTGACGTTGTTCTGGATGAAGTACTCGTCACAGGCGGCGCTGGGCTGGGAGCCGTTGCAGAAGAGGCCCCAGAGCGCGGAGGTGGCTGAGTTGTTGTGGATGCCGTAGGCCTTGACGCAGGCATCGAAGCTGCGCCGTGACAGCGTGCGGTTCCCCAGGAGGCAGACCCTGGGCGGGACAGGGAGGCACGGCACGTGTGCTGCCACCGAAGTGGCTTTTACTGCCCCACCCAGCTCCCCCAACGGGCACCCATGGTGTCGCCCGCGAGTGGCTCCTGGCACCCTGCACCTCCCAAGACAGGAAGGCCACAGATCACGCCAGGGACCGGGCCCAGGCCAGGCTGCAGCAGGAACGCAAGGGCCAGGGATCACACTGGGGACCGGGGACTGGGGACCAGGGACCGGGGACCAGGCCAGGCTGCAGCAGGAACGCTGTACTGTACAGCCGTCCCCTCATCCATGGTTCGGCCACCCATGGTCCAAACGTGCTAAATGAAGCGTTCTAGACGTAAACAATTCACACGTTTTCCACCGCGCGGTGCCGAGTAGTGAGGTGGAACCCAGCAACCTCCCCCCGCGCCAGCACAGCCACGCTGCAGCCGCTCCCTCCCCGAGGCCCTCGGCGGCGTCCTGGCCGGGTCAGCTGTCACAATCTCAGTGTCTGAGTTCAAGCCACCCTCGTGCCACGTGCCAACGGCCAAGAGCACAGGAGTGCCGCCCCCGACGTATAAGCCAGGCCTGTACGTGGAAAACAGTCTACACAGGGCCGTAGCGTCAGGCATCGGCAGGGGGTCTCAGGACGGGTCCCCGAGGGGGAGGGCAGCTGTGCTTCCCTAAAACGGGCTTGTGGGGTTGCAGCTGTTCTGCCTCCCTCTGTTTTGAGGCCTCTATGAGGCTGTTCCTTCAGGGGCTCCCTCCACGCAGAGACGGCAAAACCGCGGGAGCCTCAAGGGGCTTGGCTGCTGGCCCTTTCTGGACCTGCTCCCTGCGGGCTCTGGTGGCCACTCCCATGTTCCAGGACCCTGGGCCGCCTCCCAGCTGCTCCTCCAAAAGGACAAGAAAAGAGCCCCTCCAAGCACCTCTGGGAGGGAGAAGACACCCAGGCCCCAGCAGCAGCCAGGGCCACACCCACGACGCTCACTGCACCTGACCGTGCTCAGGGCCACCGGCCACCCCTGAAACCTGCCAGACCCCTCACCAGCCCTCCTGCCACTGAGGAGGGTCTTCATGCTCAGACCCGGCCACGAGGGTACCTCGGCCCACCTCACCGTTGGGTTTCCCGTAATCCCCAGAACGAGCCCACGGGGGTTCCCGCCACGGTCACACCCAGCCCACCCCTTGCGGGGAGCTCGGCGTCAAGGATGATGGACGAGAGGCGGGCAGAGCCCATGGGACCTGGCCCCAGCCCCACACCCACCCACGGCTCAGAGGCCCCGAGACTCACGGGATGTCCGGGGGGTCGAAGGCAGACTTGATGACGCCGGCATAGATGGCCAGGATGGACAGCACGACGCAGGCCAGGAAGACCAGCGCCAGCTTGTTGACATACTTGACGCCCACGAAGACCACCAGGGCCATGAGCACGAGCGTGCACGTGCCGTACACACGCATGTTGTGCAGCATGGCGGCCGCCTCGCCACCTGCAGCCTCCGCCTGGAAGATGGCCGCACCCGGGGAGATGTACGTCTGTGGGAACAAGGCAGGTCGGGAGGCCGTCCCCGGACACAACTCCCCAGTGCCCGTCCCTCCCGCAAGCCCCCAGCGCCACACAGGGGCCTCCTCCCAACAGGTGCCGGGGCCATCGGGACGCATCCGTGCTGGACGGAGCCCGCGGGGGTCAGCGCACAGGCAAGGGACGGAGCCCGCGGGGGTCAGCGCACAGGCGAGGGACGGAGCCCGCGGGGGTCAGCGCACAGGCCATGGACAGCCAGGGGCCTGAACGTTTCCCAGGAACCACCCGGGAGCCTTAGAGTAAAGCAACTTCAGGACCCGGGGCATCCGCATGTCCGCACTCAAAAGAAACACCTTCTGCTAAGAGGAATGTGACTGCTGCCCAGAGAGCTCGGCCCACCCCGGCTGGACGTCCTGGACACACACAGGGTCTGACCACGCCGGCGGGGGGCAACCTCTGTTCTGCCCAGATTCAAGGGAAGGGACGGAGACGTGAGACAGTGCTGCTCAGCTCCCTCAAGACCAGGACAGGACTGGGGTGCAGCAGGCATGGAGGGCATGGCACCCACCCCCACCAAAGGGGATCCTGGGAGTGCGGCAGCCACGGCACCTGGGGCAGGTGGAAAGATGGAGGGACATGGCCAGGGGACTCGGGTTGGGACGGGTGTGGGTGCGACCCCACTGAAAGGTTTCAGAACCTTCTTGGCCATGTGGCTCTCTTCAGGAACCCAGGAGGCCAGGAACCAGGTCTGGCAGCAGAGGGAGGGGCAGAAAGACTGGGGACAGGGGCTCAGGTGAGCGTCTCTGAAGCCCTGCAGGGACAGCGGGTTTCAGAACCTCAGCAGGAAGGACAGCACCCGTCGGCCAGAGAAGGGCGGTTCCCGTCCCCACGAGGACCAAGGAACTCAGGCCACAGCTCTCAGCTGTGCTCAGGTGATGTGGGACATGCTTTGAGCATGCCTGTTTTGAGAAGGTGATGACATCACCTGGTTGTACATTGCTGGGCTCTGGGACCCTCGGCCAAGTGCCCAGATCAGGCAGAGAAGAGGCTGGGATCCTGGCAAAAGGTTCTTCTAAGCCGAGTTCCAGCCCTGCTCCTAAAACAGCTCCGACTGCAGGACTGCACCTACGCGGGGCTCAGATCTACAGTCCAGATGTCTACCCAGCTCATGCCAGGCACGCCTCACGGAGGGCAGCAATGGTGCTCAAGGGGGACACAGGTCGCTGCTGAGTGGACGCTGCCCAGTGGCTTCCGCCATGGCCAGAGCCCAGGAGAGCCCAGGGGCAGCCAGGGCAGTGGGGTCAGGATGGCTCAGTGTGCTGTGTGTGCCACAGAGTGGGTCAGGCAGGGCCCCTTGGCATCCTGCCACAGACTGTGGGGTGGGAACCCTTCCAAAGCAGCACACTTACCAGAAAAATCTCGATGGTCCCCAAAATATACATGGCCCCTGCAAACGTCGTGCCCAGGTAGAAGCAGAGGCCGACAGCGCCTCCAAACTCGGGTCCCAGCGAGCGCGATATCATGTAGTAGGACCCGCCAGCTGCGGAGACAAAGGCGGCAGCCGCGGGTCAGGGGCGCACTTGGACTCGGACCCGAGGTGCGGTCTGCGCTGCCATTCACGGGCAAAGGAGGGCCTGTCTCTGCGAAGGCAGCGTGTAGACCCTCGTCCACCCGCAAAGCAGCACATGGAGACGCTTCCACGGTGAACTCTCCCCTCCCGAGGCTCGGCACACGTTCCACACCGAGAGCACGCGCTCTCATGGACATGAGGACCAGGTGAGGTCAGGGATAAGGCTCTCTGGGGAGCAGGAGGCCCCAGCAGGTCCCAGAAAAAGTCCCGCGTACATCAGTGGCAGCCCCAGCCCCCACTTCCACTAAGTTTTGCTTATGAAAAAGGCAAAAGAGAAACTAGGATGTTCAGGAGTCGTCTCGTGTACTGTGAACCACGCACGCTATCACTGGCGGGAAAGCCGGGCGCAACCCCAGGGCTGCCTGGAGAACGCAGCTCTCCCTGCTCTGAGCAGTGCGTGTGGCATGTGGAAGGGGTCCTAATGGACGCGGCCATCGTGAAGCAGAGACTGGTCCCTTGGCTGCGGAGGGAGACCCCTGGTGAAGGCCCTCATGCTCTCCTGAGGCCGGGGAAGTCCGCTGAGCACCAAGCGATGCCCCCGTGGGGATGGGGACCAGCTGCGTGAGGACCTGGTGCTGAGCAAGCCCAGCCGTTAACACGCGCAGCACACATGCACTCAGAAGCAGACGCGGCAGCGTCTCCGTTCACTAGTTATTTCGTATCGTAATTCGTTTATTACTAATTAACAGTATCATCTCAGTTTACTAGTTATTACGTATTGTAATTAACTTATTACTAATTAATATCATCTCGGTTCACTAGTTATTTAGTTATTATGTATTGTAATTAACTTATTACTAATTAACAAGGTCAGGGCAGTGTTTTGTCTTCACCTTCCCTCGTGAGATACAGGTTCCAAGAACTCAGCCTATGGCACACGCTGGGCTACAGGAGCCACTGGAATCGCCCGTGCCTCCCCCTCCCCAGCCCGCTGCCTGGTGGGCACTGCCTACCCTGGCAAGAGACGGTCACCACGCAGCAAAATGGGGAAGAAAACCAAACAGCCGTGACCTCACGGCTCAAACGCCAGAGGAGCCAGTGGAGAACACGCAGAAGGCCCGGCTGAGACCCCCAGGCAGCCCCCGGCCCGGCCTCGCCAAGCGGCCTCCTCGCGGTTGCCGTGCGGCAAAACACAGACTCCTCTAACAGGACTCAGGGCCGCGGCTGGCGGGCACCCCTTACCTGGGACCACACCGTTGGTAGCGATCGCACTCATGGAAATGGCGGTCAGCATTGTCTGCAAAAAGACAGGCAGCCATCTGAGGAGAGTTTTCCAACAGCCTGCCGGCATCGCAACACTCCCAAGTCAGGGTCTATGACCCGGCTCCCGCCGAATGCCAGCCCCCAACTCCAGGGCTCTCCATCTCAATGGAGTGGCTAGGAAACAGGACCTGGAGGCTCCCGGGCACCAGGCATGCGTGTCCTGGTTCCCACCCCTTCCCCTATGACAGCGACCCCTGAAAGTGCCCAAGGTCCTTCCAAACTGGAGGTGATGTCATCAAAACACAGGGTGTCCCTTCCCTTGGAAGCCTCAGCCCCCGGGTGCCGCCCCATGACACCCACCACTGGCTGAGATGCCTGTCCGCAGACACGGGTAAATGAGGTGCCAGCACGCCAGTCAACACGCCAGCACTAACCCCGGACAGTGTGGCATCTCATCCCCGCAGCTGCCCGGCTCTCGTGGAGGAGACGGCGCTGAACGACGTCTACACGGGCGTCTGGGGAGGGCCCTACTGTCCGGCTGCCACCGCCCGAAGGCACAACCACAGCGGCCAGGGGAGACGGCATCTGGGGAGAGCCCTACTGTCCAGCTGCCACCGCCCGAAGGCACAGCCACACCTGGCCGGGGGAGACTCACACATGTGCAGCACATGGCCACGATGAGGAAGGACTCCAGGACACCAGCCACCCCCACGATCCACGTCAGGCGCAGGAAGAGGATGACGCCCAGGATGTTCTGCAGGCACGGCAGGTAGACGCCGATGAAGGTGCCCATGCGCGGAGCCTGCGACAGAGCATAGCGTGTCCCAGGGGCTCGTACCCCACACCCAGAGGGAGCCCCCTCCCCAGGCTGCACTCAGGCCCTGGGCAGGCAAAGCGGCCGTGGGGGCAGGAGGGGGCAGGAGTCCTTCCCAGAACAGATGGAGGTTCAGAGAGAGGCCCAGGACAGGACCCCTGACCATCCCGGAATGAGGGCTTAGGGGAGGGGAGCAGAACCACATGGTTGGCAGAGAACCAAGATGCAGCTGCTCCGCTGTGCCTCCCCGACGGAGGGAAACCTGTTACACTGGAAAAGTTATGGAAAAAACAAGAGGGAGAACGAGAGGGCCCCCGGCTCCGTTCCCTGGATGGCTCAGGGCCTGAGATCTGACACCCTGGGAGAGCCTGAGACTTCAGGAATGGAAGCAGAGCCAGCGGAGGGATGAGACGGCTGCTGCCCATAAAGCTAAAAAAAAAAAAAAAAAAAATCCACAGCTCAGCGTCGGCCCTGGGCAGAAACTGACACATCTTAACCGGGCACGGAGGTCACCACGAGATAACAGCAAAGGTTCAGATATCCACGTGGGGGCCACCCCGCCTGCCCCAGCACGGAGCAGGCAGCCTGCTTCAGACACCTGTGCCAGAGAGGGGGACACACCCTGTGCCCTGAGAAAACCCACATGGGCAAGGGTCAGCAGCACAGCCAGGAGCAGGCCAGCGCCTGCCAGGCAGCTCCCCAGCTCCACTCGGGACGGGCCAGGCTGGGGTAGAAGTTTCAGCTCCATCCCCACTGCCTGCTCAGCCCCACTCCCGCCATGAGCAGAGGCACGTGGCTCAGACCTGGAGGACGGCTGGTGCCAGCACAAGGTGACGTTTTAACAGGAAAACGTCTCAAGGTCAATACGGAAAAGGGGGAAGGTTTTATTTGAAGACACTTCCTGTGAACAGTGGCCACAATGTGGATCAGAACAGGCCCCGTGCGGGGCTTCGATCCTGGGGTTCACACAGCCCAGGCCTGGGGAGGATGGGAACAGGGGACCAGGTGAGGGGCAGCTCCCAGGGAGAGCACGCTGAACACCACATCACAAAAGCAAACAGGGTGGCTTCTGGGGTCACCGTGCCGGAACGCCTCCCACAGACTGGCCGAGGCTGGGGCCAGGGCAGGGCTCTAGGGCTCCACCAACTTTAGGACCCTGGGAAAAATAATGTAAGAGCAGCTCGGAGCGTGGGAAGCCCTGGATCTGAGAGCCTGGGGGATTCACTTGGTTCCCTGAGCCCTAGGTGGGAAGCAACAGGGGAGCGACTTGCTTCTGACAGGGGCCCTGGAGAGGAGAGGGTGACGGGGCTGGGGGCCGCTGCTGGGCCCTCCAAATCTGGGTATGCTTTGTTCTTGGTGCAAACGAGAGAAGCGGTGGCGGATGGTGGAGAACCGGCTTTGGGACATTCTCATTGGATAAAACTGAGAGCCCAGGGCAGAGGTGACAGCAAGGCTCCAGGGACAATTGTTGCTGTGACTTCCCAGCGAGGCTTCAGCTAATGCAGGAGCCGACAGGCAGAGCTCCAGGCAGAGACGCGGTCCACACAGGGGCCCCTGCCCTCCAGGCTCAGCCTCAAATCCCGCAGCCCCGTGACAGGCGAGTCAGAAGCTGGTTCTCGGCCAAAGGCGGGGGATCCTGACTCCTCACGGAAGGGCATGGCCGGCCTTGGCCTCTTGGTTCGCGCCTAAAGGCAACTTTTAAGGCTCAACCTGACCCAATTTCAGGCGCGGGAGGCTGGAGATGCCTGGGCCCTTGAAAAGGCTCCTCAATGGGAGCAGGTCTGCTGGGGATGAGCCTCTGAGCCTGGCAAAGAGGACCAGGGGCGGCCCCTGCCCTTCCACCCCAGGGGCCGAGCCACGGTCCCCTAAGGGAGCCGAAGGAGTCACTGCCAACTGAAACCCGCCACCGTCAAACAACAGGCCTGCTGGGGTCACGGGCCCTGGTCCCTCCACGACTGAAACGCAGGCAGCATCAGCCTGGGGTACCTGCATATTGTCCCTGAGGGACAGAGGCCTGAGAGCCACCAGCCTGGGGGTAGGGTTGCCAGGGAGGGCCAGGGAGAGCCTTCCAGGTGGGAACCTCCTGGGCCCTGGCCCACAGTGTGCCATGAACAAACGCACCTGCCTGGACGTTTCAGTCATGTCTCAGTACCAAGTAGGGTGAGAGAAGCTGGGGTGTGCTCTCTATGGGCACCTCATGGCAGGCTGGGCTCCATCAGGCAGAGGGGTTGGAGCTGGATGTCCAGGCCAGTGGTGCCTGAGCCCAGCCGAGCTGGAGCTAAAGCCTGTTCCCGGAGCACTCGGACCAGGCCCGTGGGAAGACACCTGCTCCCTGGAGAAAGCCAACATCTCCCTAGGACACAAACTCCAGCACACAGGCGGACAGACAGGGAAGGCCTGTGGCTCCTGAGTTTTGGTGCCAGAGTACCAGCCTGAGCCCATGAGGCCTCAAGGTAGTGCCCAGCATGCGTGAAACCCCAGAAAGGTGCTGAGTGCTGAGCCCGGCAATACCCAGTTCCACAGCGTCCACGTGCGGAAAGGTACTGAGTGCTGAGCCCGGCACACCACCACCCAATTCCGCGGCGTCCACGTGCGGCACGGCAATACCCAGTTCCGCAGCGTCCACGTGCAGAAAGGTGCTGAGTGCTGAGCCCGGCAATGCCCAGTTCCACACCATCCACGTGCAGAAAGGTGCTGAGTGCTGAGCCTGGCAACACCCAATTCCGCAGCGTCCACGTGCAGCAGTGATGGTCCCACCCCAAGGGCTGGCCGAGCTACAGACAGGGGGGGCGGCCACAAGCTCCCCGAGCCGGGAAGGACCCAGCAGGGGAACCAGAAAGAGGTCCAGAGATGCAGCTTCTGAAGAGGCCACTACCCTGTCCTGGGACAACAGCCAGGGCTGAGGGCCCTCATCAGGCCAGGCCCCACCCCAAGGTGGTCTCACGGTCACGTCCCTCGTCTCCGGTTACTTCAACCCCAGATTGAGGCTTCTCAAAAACAAAACCAAATGTCTTCAAGTATTTTGGAAATGCAGTATTAATTCCGCTGTGTTTACAGTAAAAGGAAGGAAAGAGACATCTTGAGCGGCCTGACTTCCCGACTGCTGTGTGGGACCCAGGTCAGCAGAACACTGGACGCTGGCAGGAGGCACTCAGGGGTGGCGTCGACGCAAAGCGCAGAGCCCAGGCTGGGAGGATGCAGGGGAGGGCAAGGAGCCGGCCGACGGACGCCCCACTTGGTGGAGGTCACACGCAGCAGGGGGGCCCACCCTCCCTGGACCTGGGGGCGCCTGGCTCAGCACCTCCTTCCTTCCTGCTCACTGGCCTCTACCTGGCACTACAAAACCCTCCCTTCTGAGAAGATAGGGATCTCCTGATGGTATTTTTAGAGTTAGAAAGTTAAGGAAAATAATAGGGGAATTTAAAAATCACCCTAAAAAGCCAACGTATGCCCTTAGCTGTCTGCCGAAGGAGGGGGGCACAGGCTCGGGGCTGACTCGGGAAATGACAATTTTGTGTCAAGACTGGGGGAGGCCGTCGCCCGGCTTCAGAGCAGGGCCTGCGCTGCTTGGTTTCTTCCGGTGGATTATTTTTTTTTGTTTTTTGTATCTTATTCTAGAGCAACACAGACATATTTGAAAGAAGATTTAAAAAGCAGAGGGAGTTGAGAAGAAACTGAGCCACCCGCCGCACCCCCACAGCGAGGACCTAAGATCTCCCCCAACACGGGTCCAGGGTCTTTCTCGCCTGTGAGCGTCACCTCAGGGCCTCAGGCCTCAGGGTGGCTCTCAGGCAACCCGTCTGTACAGGACGGCAGAACCCTCCCGAGGATGCTCAAGGGGTTTCCACACCTCGTCACCCACAGAAACCACTCAAGGGAAACCTTTCCCCACTGCACCCCCCTCGTTTCCTAGGACGGATTCCTGGAAACAAATCCTCAGGGAATAAAACTGCAGGGAAAATGCTACCAGGCTAAGTGTCCTGGACAGGAAATGAAAAGGAGGGTGGCCCCTGGGAGCACCGAGGCCACAGCACCCTCTGGAAGGGGCCACGTCCCGGCCTCTCGGCACCATTCAGACTCCTCTCCACAGCAGGGGATGGGGCCGCTCCCGCAGAACGAACAAAACACCCCAAGTTCATTTCTCGACAGGGAACCCGGCCACCCAGATGCATGGGGGTGTCACGCTTCCCCGGACGGTGGAGAGGGAAGAGGCCTGGACAGGAGCTGCAGGGCAGGCACCATCGAGCCCTCCCAGGAAGAAAGGGCTGGACGTGGCCATGATACCAGAGCTCAGGGCAGCTCTTCTGACAAGCAACTGCCTTGCCGGCGTGATCTAACCCTGCCGGGACACACGGGGCGGGGACTGGGCGGGCACGGGCAGGGTGGCAGTACCTTGGCCTCCCGCCGCCGGCTCTCCTCGTCCTCCTCGTGCTCCACCACGCCCTGGCTCAGGTTGGTGTAGTTGGCCAGCTTGTTGAGCAGCGAGGACACCATGGGGTTACTGTCCATCTCCTCCTGCGCGGCGTGGACATGGTCACAGGCGGCCCGCACCTCGCCGTGGGCCCCCCGACCTCCCTCCCCGTGTTCAGGGTGTGGAGCTCAGGCCCTCCCCGGGTCCTCAGCCCCTGGGTCTGAAGCAAGCCAGAGAGGCCTGGACACCTGTGTGGCAGGTCTGAGTCCGAGGCCAGGGCTCCAGGCCTCACTGAGTGGGGCCACCCACCCATGGCAGGGACCCCAGGGTGTCCAGCACTCAGCAGCTCAGAGGGGTTCCCGTGGGGCCGGAGCACCCTAGATCCAGGAAGGAGCCCAGAAGGCACCAGCCGAGGAGCACGTCCCAGCTCAAGTGCGGGACTGGGCCCCCGCCACAGCCTTCAGGACAGGGAGGCCCCAGTTCCTTCCACGTGGTGTCCAGTCCTGTGGGAGGCCCCGGCCTGGGGGCCCCCAGGGGCTCCTTTACTTTTCCACATCAAAGCAACGGCCCTGGCACCTTCTTCTTCTAAAAAGTAAAGTTACCTCGAAAAGTGCCATGTTCTTCCCTTCAAAGAAGCTCTCTTGTTCCACCTCGACATTGTTGAGGAATGGGCTGTTTTCTCTTGGATTTCCATCTCCTAGTGAGGGAAAAACAATTCAGAGTCAGCTTAGAAGGAACTAAAAGCAAGCACAGAAGGCCAACTACAGATCTTGCACGGAGGGCTCTGGTCCCCACCAGCTGTCACCTCTAAACCATGGCTAAGGGTGATACTTCTCACACACTCTCCTTCCTTCCACACATCTGTGTTCCAAAGAAAGGGGCATTTCCCAGGGTGCACGCTAGTCCCAGGACACATGCTAGCCCCAATGCGCAAGCTATCCCCAGAACACAAGCTATCCCTAGGACACAAGCTATCCCCAGAACACACGCTAGCTCCAGGGCATACGCTATCCCCCACACACATCATCATTGAAGACAAAGCCCCTGAAAGCCTCGGCAAGTGAGCTGTTCAGCCCAGGGCAAGGGTACCTCCCTCTGGCGTTGAAAATCTCTCATTCAGCCAAATGTGGGCAAAATTCTCACTCTTAAAAGTCGGGGTGGCACCTCCTAGCCTTGCTGCTTAATCCGCCATTTCGGAGGGACACAGAGGACTTCCCACTGTTCCCTGTTGAGGACGCCGCCCACAGGCTCTCTAGGTAAATGAGCCCCTCCTGAGTCTTTCAGGAAGGCTGGGCCGGCGACCCCTCCATGGGGCTGAGCCCAGGCTTCGAACCAGGGGGTAATCCTAGCAGCTGCCCGAGAGCATGAGCAAGGGAATTGGTGGGGAGGAGGACTTGAGGCTCCCTGGCAGGTTGAGGCCCGATGGCCCATGTGACGGTGTTAGAAGATAGGGTCGGTAGGAGGTGGGGGCGGTAGGAGGCGGGGGGCCGGTAGGAGGCGGGGCCGGTAGGAGGTGGGGCCCGTAGGAGGTGGTGAGGTGTGGAAGGGGATGAAAGTCCCTACCCCCAGGCCTCAGCAGCAGAGCTGTCGCCCTCCCACCCTCCATGGGAGGACACGGCAGGGAACCTAGGGCCCTCGCCAGACCCCAAACCTGCCCAGGCCTTGGTCTAAGACTTTCAGCCTCAAGAACTCTGAGAAGTTTCTGTGTTCATGAATCACCTGACCTGGGGGACTGTCACAGCAACACAAGGAACTCGGCACAGGCCACTGCAGAGACCACAGCCTGCCCGGGACCCCTGAGCAGCCCATGGTCAGAACAGGGTCTGCAAATGCACATGCCCCAGCCAGGCACGGTGAGGAGCTGAAGGGCATCAAACCATAGCCACCCACGCACCCCAGGGCCCTCAGGGCCCTCTGCCCCATGTGCTGCACACCAGCTCCCCAGACTGGGAACGACCAAGCCGGGACCCTTCCTAGGGGTGCTCGGCCCATCCTTGCCCAGTCCACCCTAGCCCTGCACAGAATGGTGTGGGACCCTGAGGGTGCAGAAGAAACGGTCAAGGCAGGATGCGAGGTGGCCGGAGGAGGGCAGGCCAAGACCTCATCACTGCACCAAACAACCCCAGCTGGGAGGGTGGGCATTCTCTATGGGACATTTCAGATGTGCCAGAGCCCACTGGCGGCCACCCTGGCTGGCTGACAGGCACCAGCCGCAGGAGTGGTGGGTTCCAGCCGTGCCAGCAAAGAGGGCATCGCCGTCTGGGGGCAGGCGGGCAGCACGTGCTCCCAGTAGGGTGCCTGGGGCGGAAAGCACAGCCTTCAGGGTGTGCAGGTCCTTGGTGCGACCATGAGTGACTGCAGATGCCTAGACCATGGGGCACACCACAGAGAGGCCAGTGCCACGGAGCAGCGGCCCCACCCCTCAAAAACGTCAGGGAGACAACTCAGAGGAAGCTCCAGGTGACAGAGACGGTCAAATGCACGCACAACCTCAGACTTCTTTTTCTAGAGACCGTGATTGGGCCAGTTGGTGAGATCTGAAAAAGATCTCTCGTGTGTGATCATTAACTCCCTGATTCTGGTGACTGCACTGCAGAGATTCTGAAAGAAACGTGCTTGCTTTTAGGAAATACGCCTGTGAGAGGCACCACGTCAGCTGCTTACTCCCAACAGTTCAGAAACAAACGTGGGAGTGAAAGACGGAGACCTGGGGCAGGGCAGGAGGCAGGAGGGACACAGCCAACATGGCAGGAGGTTGGCATTTGGGCAACGGAGGCCAAGGGCAGATGGGCGTTCTCCACACTGGTCTTGCAACCTTTCTGAAATCTAAAATTACATGGAAATCAGGTTAAAAGAAAAATTACACATACTTTCAACTAAGAAAATATGTCTAAATGTCTTTCCCATCAATTATAGGTGTCTTTCCAAGATGAGTCCCATCCAGGGCCCTTCCCCACTCCTCTTCAATGGTTTCAGTGGATTCCTGCTCAGGCCCTTTTTCTGGACACAACGGCCAACTGTTTACAGAGAGATCAGTGGTGACTGGCGACACTTTCTGGAGTCAATGGAAGATGAAGGACCAGGAGCCTGGTGCAGCTATTCTTAGAGGGAGGGAGGGAAGGAAGAAAGGAGGGAGGGGGGAAGGGAGGGAAGGAAGGAGGGAGGAAGGAAAGGAGGGAGGGGGGAAGGGAGGGAAGGAAGGAGGGAGGAAGGAAAGGAGGGAGGGGGGGAGGGAGGGAAGGAAGGAGGGAGGGAAGGAAGGAGGGAAGGGAGGGAAGGAAGGAGGGAGGGAGGGAAGGAGGGAGGGAGGGATGAAGGGAGGGAGGGAGGGAAGGAAGAAAGGAGGGAGGGAGGAAGGGAGGGAAGGAAGGAGGGAGGGAGGGAGAGACCCGAGGGTTTCGGGTTCTCCCTCCCACGCAGCCAACCCCACAGACAACCTTGGACAAAGTCACAGCTGCTTGGGCTCAAGTTTCTCTTCCCCGCAGGAAGGGTGCGTGGCTCCGGAGGCTCAGCCCTGCCTGCCCTTCTCCACCAGGAGTGCAGCTTGGGGCTCCGCTGCCCGGCCTACATCCCTTCTGGAAAGCACAGGTTTACTGGTGGTTGAGGTCTTAGCATGTAACTATGTCTGCGTTCAGCAAGCAACCACTGTTTATCTGAACTCCTACGAACTGTACAAGTAGGAAAAACGTGTACACAGCAAGCACATTCGCTCAAACCAAGGGGACCAACATCCTTCCCGTCGCCTCCAACACTCCCAGCAGAAGCAACCCCTGCTCACCGCAGCGTCTCCTCTGCGCAGCCCACTTGGGAAGATGGCAACGCCTATCAGGCCCCAAGAACACCCCGAAAAACACACACACAAGCTCCCCACAGGCAACCTATGCAGTTGGAAAAAAGCACTAGAAACAACTTGCTCAAGTTGGATTAATATCGAGAAATTCATTAAACTTAGAAAACATAACGATGTAACCACCACAGGGTCACACCCGAGATCCCTGCGTCTGACTGTGCAGGGCTGTGCGCCAGCGGCCTCACGACAAAGCCCTGCGTGTGGGGCCAGCGAGGCACGACTCTGTCCTTCTGCTGCTTATTAAAGTAACACAGACGATGAGTCCAGAACGCGAGGACGCACAGAAAAGGGGGACGGAATACAGAAAAGCAGGGTGTGGCTGGTCCTCCCAGGTGGGGACTGCACTGAACATGTGAGCGTGTGTTCAGCCACCAGCATGTTGTCACCAAAAGCAGCCTCAGAGCATGATTACAACCTTCAAGCCTTTAAAGAGAACGCATCTCCCCTCACTTTCTTGAGAAGAGTGTCGCTTGGTCTCTACGGAGGCCACAGCAAGCGTGCTCTCAGCAGGATGGAAGTGCCCACTTGGGAGTGCCCACAAACGTTTCTATCTGGTTAAAACAGCCAGGTCAGACCTGAACCAAGAGTGCGTCCCGGGGACGTCATGGGCTCAATGCCATCCCAGTCAAGAGACCCTTCGTTAAAAATCCAATGCCCTCTCTAACCTTCTGCACACCCAGCCGCCCCCTCCAACCCTCTGCACACCCAGCCCCCCTCTAACCCTCTGCAAGCCCAGCCCCCACAACCCTCTGCAAGCCCAGCCCCCCTCTAACCCTCTGCACGCCCAGCCCCCCTCTAACCCTCTGCACACCCAGCCCCCCTCTAACCCTCTGCACACCCAGCCCCCCTCTAACCCTCTGCACGCCCAGGCCCCCACAACCCTCTGCAAGCCCAGCCCCCCTCTAACCCTCTGCTCACCCAGCCCCCCTCTAACCCTCTGCACACCCAGCCCCCTTCTAACCCTCTGCTCACCCAGCCCCCTTCTAACCCTCTGCTCACCCAGCCCCCTTCTAACCCTCTGCATGCCCAGGCCCCCCTCTAACCCTCTGCACACCCAGCCCCCTTCTAACCCTCTGCTCACCCAGCCCCCTTCTAACCCTCTGCACACCCAGGCCCCCCTCTAACCCTCTGCACACCCAGCCCCCCTCTAACCCTCTGCTCACCAAGCCCCCTTCTAACCCTCTGCACACCCAGCCCCCCTCTAACCCTCTGCTCACCCAGCCCCCTTCTAACCCTCTGCTCACCCAGCCCCCTTCTAACCCTCTGCACACCCAGGCCCCCCTCTAACCCTCTGCACACCCAGCCCCCCTCTAACCCTCTGCTCACCCAGCCCCCCTCTAACCCTCTGCACACCCAGCCCCCCTCTAACCCTCTGCTCACCCAGCCACCCTCTAACCCTCTGCTCACCCAGCCGCGTCCCTTGCGCTCCCTGGCCTGGACTTGGACATCGGCAGTCCTGGCTGCTGTGAAGGGCAGTGAGTTTTCCTCTGGCCGAGCCCTGCCTGTGTTTTGGGGATAGAGCCACTCGCCTGGGATAGCACCTCCTCCCTTGTCATTCTGCACATTCATGATGACCGGAAGGCTGAGAGGACAAACGGACACAGGGGAAAGCCTGGGCGTGCGGTGCAGGAAGGTGAGATGGGCAGGGTCCTTGCCAGGTGGCCCACAGTGTCTAACCCTCAGGGCAGGTCCCGGTGGTGCCCCTGCCCAGGCGCCATGCACCAGTGGCCTCTGCCAAGCAGGGTGAAGCGGGGGCGAGGGATGGCCCAACAACCCAGATCAGGTCTCCCCAGCCAAACCCCACCCCATGGGCCAAAGAGCAGCACCCAGATACCACGTGCCCTGAGGCAGGAGCAGGGTACAGACATCAACCTAACCCGGACCCGGTCCACCTCCTCCGGTGGACGGCAGAACCCAACCCGGTCCACCTCCTCTGGGGCACAGACATCAACCCAGCCCCGACCCAGTCCACCTCCTCCGGGGGACAGCAGGGCCCGACCCGGTCCACCTCCTCTGGGGCACGGACATCAACCCAGCCCCGACCCAGTCCACCTCCTCCGGGGGACGGCAGGGCCCGACCCAGTCCACCTCCTCCGGGGGACGGCAGGCATCCTCAGCGGGTCAGAGGATTGATCCCAGTTCCGGCCAGGACACAGAATGAGCCATGGTACCGACCTCCACAAAACTCGCCTCCCCTCCCTCCTCCCGAAGACGAACCCGTTTCTGACTTATCTCCACATTTAAGGGCTGAAATGCTGAACTCACCTCACAGAAGCCCTGTAAAGGCCGGCTCCTTTCACATTGTACATCACAGCCGTGGCCTGCCCACCACAGCTTAGAAAGGCTGACTCGGGAATCTCAGTTTGCGCCAAGCTCATGGTCTCCCCAAAACCAAGTGCAGCAAAACTCGGGACACCTTAAAACCAGCGATAGGAACGGCCCCTTCACAACCACCACGGTCCCCTCCGGCGGGTGTACGGGGCAGGAGTGCGCAGGGGAATTCCGGGGTCCCCCAGGCCTGGCCCGCCCCACTTCGCAACCTGAGGGCGCATGACCGTTACTGTTATCACTGAAAAAAGCGACTCATAAGGCTTTAAAAGGAGGCTACTTCAGCCAGTAGCATCCAGGGCGAGAAGAAGAAGGCATGGCATTTCAACCCTCTCCTCCTACCCGGCCGGGCTGGGCTCCCACACGCCTCGGAAGAGAAGAGCGAGGCAGCCGCTCAGGAATTTCCCCTTAAAGGAGACTCAGGCGGGTGTCTGCAAATAGCTCACGAAGCCCGTGAATCATCCACGAATGTCCCTCACCCTCGGGCGGCACCGGGACGGCAGGGGCTGGTACCCTCCGCGCCGCCTGATGAGGCTTGTACGGTGCTCCATTCTGCAGACACGCCGTCGGAATTAAAAATCCACAGGACCCGGCCAGAGTCACTGGGAAAGAAGCCCATGTAAAGGCCGCCTGGCCCCTGGGCCACCCGCAGCCGCCTGTCATCTATCTTTCCACAGCCTTTCAAAGGCTCGATGGTCTCGCAGCAGCCCCCAGGTGCCCTGGGTTACTCCACAGCACAGCAGGCCCCAAAGGCAAGCCCATCTGCGGATCCGACAGTGGGAACCAAAACCAAACGAGGCTCCAGAAGCCTGGCTGGGGCGGGAAAGGAAGGTGAGCTGCGCTCGTGGGTAACAGAGGAGGAAGACGGCGCCCTCGGGGAGACCGCGCCAAGTGCTGTTGACGCGTGTGCCCAGACGCCGCATGCAGGGAGGGCGCCTGTCCTCTGGGGTCTTCCTCCCCGAAACACTCAGCTGCAGGCTAACCACGAGAGAAAACACCAGACACCTCCCAACTGAGGGGCATTCTCTAAAAAGGACCAGGACTCCCCAAAACTGCCACAGTCGTCAAAAAAAGAAAGTCCGAGAAACCGTCACAGCCAAGAGGAGCCCGAGGCAGCGTGGGAACTTGGTGTCTGTCACGTTGGATCCCGGATGTGTCCTGGGACAGAAAAGCACACCCGGGAAGAGGCAGTGAAACATGAGCCTGCAGGGATGTGGCTCTGCATGGTGACCACCCACCAGGAGCCCTCGACGAGCTGAGCCCCGCACCCATGGCCAGCTCCCCCACAGCTGTGTGCGCTGCCCTCCTGCTCCGTCCATCCCAACATCTTCCCAGCTCTGGGAACAGCCCCGGCCTCGGCCCGCCTCGTACCTGGGAACAGCCTGTTTCAGCGCCCTCTCCCCAGAGGCCCCTCCTCGCTCACCTGCCCCGAGCGGCCCTAAGCAGCTGGCACTGGGTGGACTGCCCTGCCCACCTGCACTGGGACAGGGCCTTGGTCACTGTCACCGGTGCCCGTCCCTCCAGGTTTAAAGCAGTTCCAGCAGCAGCTCTGCTCACAGCTTGTCTGGTGCCTTCATGAACCCCATGCACCAGGCTGACCTATCCCCAGGGGCCAGGGTCTCAACAGAACCTGCCCCAAGCAGACGTGCCCGGGACTGACAGCGTCTGGCCAGCAGGCCCGACCTGGGTCCAGGCCCCAGAACCACAGCCTCTGGTGGGTCCCTGAGACCTTGGAGGAGCCCTCCCAATAGCCAGCAAAGGCCGACAGCCGCTGGTGGAGAACCAGCAACACCAGGCTGACCAATGCTGCCCTCCTCCTCAGCCATGAAGGCGGCGAGGTCAAGCCCTGGCCTGAAGAACTGGCCACAAGTCAGTTTTTTCTCGTCTTATTTTTTCTACCTCTTCATTTTATTATAAAAACGACCCCAGGTAAGCAAGTGGGCAGACACCCTGTGCAGCCCTATGGGTGCTAGCTGTCCACGCACAGATCCGCCCCACACAGCCCTGGTCTGATGCATGTCATGGCACACAGTGGCCACCACTGCCCCGACCCCCCTCCACCCCCCGACACTAAGCAGCCTTGTGGCCCTCCGGAGCCGCTTTGCTGAGTTTTCTCTGGCTGCAGCCGCCTGGGCAAGAGAACGTCTATCTGCTGAGCATTAACAAAGGCCTGCCCCTGCTCACCGGACCTACCAAGAGCCTCCCACCACTTCCCCAGCTCCCTCCCTGCCAAGCCCCCCAGCCACAGAGGCAACCTCCGGTCTGTTTTTCACTCTAGGTTAGTTTTCCAGACACCTTATCAACAAAGTGAATGCAGACCCTGTGGTCAGTAAGCAGATCCTGATGGGCTGGGCCCTTGGGGAACAGCCTCCTGGGCTTGTCCAACCAGGCTGTGTCCCCACCCCGAGAGGGAAGGAGGCGGCTGCAGGTGGAAGGGCAAAGACCAGACACACGAGTGTCCCGGCCAGAGGAGGGGCAGCCCCTCCAGCCAGAGAGGCAGTGAGAGTGTGTGTGTCAGATCCCTGACCCATCCCGATCCAGGCCTGGGAAGTGCGTTCATGGGTAGTTTCTGCAGGGAGAAGCTGGCTCACCTCCCTAATCGGCCCTAATCCCCTCTGAGATCACAATGCCTCCATCAGCCTCCCTATCTCCAGGCACAACCTCCTCCCTTTCTCAGTGGCTCATCCCTCCCCCTCTTCCTCCCGCGTTTTGGGATTTTACAGCCATTCTCCGCAAAGGGCTCTAGGAACGTCCTCTTAGACTCAGCCTCAGCCGGAAGCAGCTGACAGGCAGGAGGGGCTGTGAAGCTGAAGCCAGGTCCGACAGCCTCCGCCCCTTCCTGCCCTCCAGCGTGGGTGGTCCGTCCAGCTACCCAGCCCTGCAGAGCAGTGGCGGGTGGCACCGGACCTGTGCACACAGAGAGGCGCCGGGCCTGGGGCAGGGGACAAGCAAGTCCAGGCTTCCCGGCTCCCTGCACTCGAGGAGGTTCTCAGGCCTGGCTCTGTGTGTCCCCTGGGTCCAGCAGGCCACCCTCCCCTGGAGCCACAGGGGACTCACAGCAGAATGAGTCCCACCTGGTGACCCAGTGGCATCAGCTCACGTGGCCTCTGGGGACAGCCCGAGACTGAATGGACCCAGGAGCACCCCCCACCCAACCCCACTGCCTGGAGGCTGAGTTCCCTGTGAAGGCGCGAGGACCCAGGAACACTCCCAACCCCACTGCCTGGAGGCTGGGCTCCCTGTGAAGGTGCCGGGCACTGAAATAAAGTGTGTTTAGGTTCCAGGATCCGAACGCCAGCTGACGACCCCTGGCCCTTGCCCTCCCTCTGCCCCTCACAGTTTGTGCTGTGTGGGCCCCTAAAATCTAGAAACTGAGGCTCTCAAGGGGCACAGGATGAGAACGGCCCAGTGTTCAGGCTGGGACACGGGGGGCTTCAGGCAAGCTCTCAGGCTTCCAGCACAAGTTTCTGGCTAAAGCAGCGCTGCCTTCTGAGGGAAAAACAGGCCCTTCATCACCCATTCCCGAAGTGACCTCATCCCAACAGTCTGTGCAGACACCACCGCCAGTATCCTGTAAACCAGGAGAGCGCCGGGAGATCCCAGCTCACCGTCAGAGGCACTGGAAGCAAGGAAGCCTGGCTGGAAGGTCCTGGCAAGCTATGGCCAGACACACATGAACACACGCCACAGAAAATATACACTCACATGCACAGAGACATGCATGTGTACACATGCACAGACAGGCACTTCCACGTGCACACGCAAACTTGCTCACACGGAAGACACTCTCCATACCCATACTCACACGCTTCCCCCCTCATTCATACACACAACACTCACCTCGCAAACCTGCACACGCACCTGTCCTCACATGTGCATACCCATACCCGCAGTCACATACACACACCAACACCCGCACATACACGTGTACACACACACATACCTGCAGCACACACATCTGCACAAAGTCCCAGGGGCTACAGCCCCCAGACTGCACGACCCACGGGGCGGGGTGCCCAGGACACAGGCATGCACTGGGACTACAGCCCTTCCATCTAAAGGACACGCCTGCTCGCGGGAAGGTGGCCTCGGGTGAACTCACTTCCCGAACCCTCTGTCACGTGGCTGTTTGCTGGTCCTGGTCCAGCCTCCTCCCTCAGCAGCCAGAGTGACGTCTGAGCCATGGAGGGGCCGTGGGGTCCCCTAGTTCCAGAGACTCGGGGCCCAGGCAGCCTGCAGGAGCAGAGATGAAGGAAGGCGGGAGAGGCAGGGCCCCCAGCGCACCTGCCAGGCCCTCCCAGGGCGGCTCCTGTTACAGGCTGCCTCTGGGCTGCGGTCGGGGACCCTTGGCGGCATGGAGGGGACCCAGGAGGGGCCTGGCCTGGCGCACTTCCCTCCTCCGATTTCCACTCCACTCAATCCCTCCCCAGTGACTGCCCAGGGCGTCTCTGAGCCTCCCTGAAAGCCCAGGCCCGACCCGCTGGCGCCAGAGGTCTGCAGACAGAGCCAAGGAGATGAGAGGTCACAGCCACCGCCACCCTCGTGACAGGCTGGCTCCTGCCAAGGGAAACTGAGGCACAGAGCAAATGTTCAAGGATCACTTTAACAACCTCCTCCCGGCTGCACGTCTGCAAGGTGGACATCCCCTGTGCACGGGACTTAAATGGACAGGAACGCTGGGAGGGCCAGCGGGGCTACCCCACCATGAGGACAGCTCCAGGCCATGGCAGACACACAAACCAGGCATGCCAACCAAGCACACGGGCATGCTGCGTGCGGCTATCCATGGCCAGCCTTGGGCTCAGGTCCCAGCCCCCAAACTTCCCAGAGCCACTGTAACCACTACAGTGGATGGCAATCTGACTCCAGGGGTCAACACAGGCCTGGGCGGGGCCCACTCTCATCCCGGACCCCAGGACCACTCCCCACAGAGCCGAGGCCCACCGGGGGGTGCGTGTGGGGTGCGTGTGGGGTGCTGCCCAAGAAAACCCCAGAACGCAGGAAACAAACCACCCCAGGTCCACACGTGATTCAGAAGCAGCACTCTCCTCCCCACAACTGTTTCCTCAAAAAGACACCGCCCAAGGGGAGAGCGGAAACAGGCACGGGCTGGCAGGATGGGGGCCCACGTCACAGCCCAGGGCCGCAAGCACCACTCGGACCCCGAGACCCCTGCAACGGCAGCACACGCCCCTCCCCGCAGGGGTGAGGTCCTGCAGTCACCCACCAGCCAAAAGGGACCCTCCCCGCAGGGGTGAGGTCCTGCAGTCACCCACCAGTCAAAAGGACCCTCCCCGAAGGAATGAGGTCCTGCAGTCACCCACCAGCCAAAGAGGAGCCTCCCCGCAGGGATGAGGTCCTGCAGTCACCCACCAGCCAAAGGGGACCCTCCCCGCAGGGATGAGGTCCTGCAGTCACCCACCAGTCAAAAGGACCCTCCCCGCAGGGATGAGGTCCTGCAGTCACCCACCAGCCAAAGGGGACCCTCCCCGCAGGGATGAGGTCCTGCAGTCACCCACCAGCCAAAGGGAACCCTCCCCGCAGGGGTTAGGTCCTGCAGTCACCCACCAGTCAAAAGGACCCTCCCCGCAGGGATGAGGTCCTGCAGTCACCCACCAGCCAAAGGGGACCCTCCCTGCAGGGATGAGGTCCTGCAGTCGCCCACCAGCCAAAAGGACCCTCCCCACAGGGATGAGGTCCTGCAGTCACCCACCAGCCAAAGGGGACCCTGCCGTGGGCCTGCCCCCCGGCACTCCCGGCCAGAGGCTCCAGGACCCTTGGGGAGTCAGCGGCCACAAACAGGGGAAGAGGCAGGGCCTGGACAGCATGGCCAGCCAGGCAGCTCATCGTTCAGGAGCTCATCGTTCAGGCTGCTGCGCTGAAGCCAGAGGTTTATCTGCACAGAACAGGCCTCTGCCCCCAAAAGGGAGTTTCCCCTTTCTTCATAAAGGAAAGGTATTAACCCTTTGTGCTCTGCCCTTGTCCCTGGGCAGCACTTCCCCAGCATCTGAGAAGGAAGGCCAAAGGAGACCAGCCCCCCATGTCAGTTACCAGGAGGGCCCCCAGCCAGCTGCTCACCAGGCCCCAGACACCCCCAGCCCAGCCCACTGCCCTGAAGACCAGCTGGTCCACTCCTGAATGCCGTCCACGCCCAGCCCCACTGGGCTCCACGGGGTTCCCATGCCCCACAGTGGGAGGGGGAGGTCTACCCCTCAAGGCCCTGGCGGGCCTCACACTCCCCAGCACCCAGGGACTCCTGCCCCACCCACCACACGGCCGTCACAAAATGACTCTGGGATCCACCCTCAGAAACACTCAGCTGATGGAGCCGGTTGAAATCAAAAGCACCCAGCCAGGAACTGTGGTTAATACTTAACGTCAAACATCAAACTTTGCCCTCCAGACCTCGGTCTAAGGCACAGCTTAGAAAATTCATATTCTGGCCAGATATGGTGGCTCACTCCTGTAATCCCAGCACTCCGGGAGGCCGAAGTGGGCAGACCACTAGAGGCCAGGAGTTCAAAACCAGCTTGGCCAACATGGCAAAACCCCATCTGCACTATAAATATAAAACTTAGCCAGGCGCGGTGGTGCGTGCCTGTGGTCCCCGCTACTCGGGAGGCTGAGGCACGAGAATCGCTTGAACCTGGGAGGCAGAGGTTGCAGTGAGCTGAGTCTGTGCCACTGCACTCCAGCCTGGGTGACAGAGTGAACTCTGTCTCAAAAAAAAAAAAAAAAAAAAAAAGAAAATTCATATTCCAACAGGGATGGTAACAGGAGAGCCCTCCGGGCAGCCAGCTGGCCTCACAGACGCCATCCATCCCTGGGGTGTCGGCTCCACTCGTGCCCTTCACAGCTGGGGGGTCACCCTGGGCTGACCTCCACTCCCAGTGCTGTGCCCAGCGGTGCCACGTCGGGATGTGTCTGCAGTGCCCAAGGACAGCAGCCCTGGGAAGGCTCCCTGGTCCAAGGTATGAAAGGAAAACAGGATCTCGGGACCCAAACACACTAAGCCACAGGCAAGAGTCAGGCTGGGAACCGGGTCACGCAAGCTGCCTTCCATTTTCTTCCTGTGTAGAAAGCTGCAGGCCTCCCTCATATTTTAGGACCCACAGGATCCTTACACTAAAGCAGTTGTGATGAAACTCACACTGACGGTGGAAATGACAGCTCATCCTCACGGGTGTGGGACCAAGGACAGAACCAGGAGTTGCTGCTCTGCTCGCCGGAGGCAAACGCACACCTCACTGCTTCGCCCACCCTGTACTGACTGTGTCGAAGGTAAATGTGCAGAGTCACTAAGCGTGAGCCGTGAGGGGTTCTTCCTTTACCCCCATGTGTAACACACGGGTTCAGTGAACGCTGATCAAACGCTGCCTGCCTCTTATCTGCCCTCCCTCTTCTTTCTCTTTCTTTCTTCCCCTAATACTCACGCTTTACTCTCTGAATATTCAAGTTCTCAGCCTTCTTTGAGAAGAAAAGCCGGACCACAGGAGTTCCCCGTGGTTCTGTGTTAGGCGTAGCCTTAACCTCGGCAAATAAACCTCTCAAGTGATTGAGGCCCACCTGGGTCGCTTTCTGTGCTTTACAAAGGCCACCCATCCCCCATGCAGGAGCCTGGGCCATCTGGGAATCCCTGGGTCAGGTCCAGGGAGCTGTGTAGGACGTGGCCCCACGTCCAAAGGGCAGAGGCCCTGACAGAGGTGGCCTCACTCCACGGCCCACTCACTGCCGGGCATGAGGGGAGGACAGCCCCCAACTCACCCTCAGGGTCCCTCAGGTGCCTCTGCTTGACTCCAGCCACCACCTGGCAAGGTCTCCGACATTCACCGATCCCCAGCAAACCTGTGTGACTTCGGCCCCGACCAGCCGCCCTGCACCCAGGCCTGAGCACCTGGCCCTCCCCTTGGCACCACCTTCCCGACAGCCATCCAGACCACGGGAGAGGCACTGAGAAAGCCACGCACTCTAAGAAGGGGATCTGGTGTCCAACGCTAGACAGAAAACCACCGTGGAATCCGTTTGGCCTCGCCCACTCAGAGAAGCCTGGGGAGCTTTGCAGAAGAGGAAACCATGAACCTGAGTCCACGAGGCAAAGGTCTCCTCATATGATCAGAGGCCCAGGAGCAGGTTCAGACCTGAACACGAGGCCACACCAGGAGAGGGAGCCCCTCACCACTCACTGATGGGCCTAGACCAGGGGGAGGGAACGGATACCCAACACCCAACACCGCGTGACCCTCTGCTGTGGAGGAAGCCCCAGCCCCTCTCTACCTGCCACAGCATACAAACACACACATACACACACACACGTGAGCATGCCCACAGCACACAGCTGTGCAAGAGCACAGTACACATGTATGCACACGTGTGTACATATATGTGCACATATACACAGTGCAAGCACATGGCTCACACGTGGATACACCTGCACGCTCACAAGGCACATAGGTGCCCGCACACATGGACCCGGCCAGCTGACCTAAAGCACCATGCTTTACCGCATGCCTGCTAAGGAGAGCCTCTTGCCGGGAGACAGCCTGGGAGTATGTCAGGCGCAGGAGGAAGCACAGGCCCCGGCCTGGATGCCCAGCAGCCACGGCGTTCCTGTGTATCTTGTTTCCTTTGGTTTTAAAAAGGGAACTCGATACACAAAATGCATGTCTTGTAGCCTCCCTGCCTGCTCACCACATACCCATGACCTTCCGTTCCCGCAACGCAGTGCCCAGCTGCTGCAGGGGCTCCCGGGCACAGCCGCGGGGTCAACAGCCTGCCTGTCCCTCCTGCTCCGACTGCCTCCCATGTCCGTGTCGGGAACGCCCTCCTGAAATCTGGGCACAACGAGAGCTCTCTGTCCCTACTCGGCAGGACAGAACCTGGACGCTCTGTGTGTGGTCCCCCTATCTAATGCGTGATCCCCCAAGTCCCTGCATCCCCAAAGGGGACCCCAGATCAGCACGACCGGCGTGCACCGTCTCGCCATTCCCAAGGGCAGTGCAGAGCATGGCACCCAGCACCCGACAGGCGAGGACGGCCCAGGACAAAGCGGCAGCTCTAGCTGTCCTCAGATTTTGGGAGGGGGCTCCCAACACGGACACGGTAGGTAGTTGGAGCAGGAGGGACGGGCAGGCCACTGACCACGCAACCGGGCCTCTGTCAGCGGCCAGGGGCAGAGGGAGGCAGGACCGCCCCTGGACAACCGACACGAGCTCAGCCACAGTGGAAAATCTCAGAAACGGAACCCAAAGAGGGAAGTGGCGCCCAAGCCAGGAAGAAGCTCCCGGCAAACCTGGGAGAGCCCCAGCTGAGGGTGGGAGACCTGGGGGTACAAGGCAGGACCCACCCTCTCCCAGCCCAGGGAGCCCCAGACGAGTGGAAGTCCCTCCTAGACAGTGGGTGGCCAGGGCCTGTGGGACCTTGACAGAGGCTCTGCACGCTGCACCTTCCAGACAGGCCGGGGCACTGGCCAGCCCTCCTTTCCCACCCCTCCCAGGGTCTCCGAGGCCTCTGGACGCACCCCTACAACCTGGGAAGGAGTGAGTCTACCCTGATGTGGTCACGGAGGAAGGGTGGGCTCCCCCAAGTCAGTTACAAAACCCACTCTACCCTGAAGTCGGACGAGACGCAGCCGGCCCCCAGCAGTGTCCTCCCACCTCCTACTCTCAAAAAACCACCCCACTGAGAAACTGAGGGTTAACACGTCCTTCTCATTTCAAGACGAGGTATTTCACATAAGAATAAAAGCTCCGTCCCAAGAAGTGCTGAGGGCACAGTGCCCATCCCCGGGACAGGACGCCTCCCGCAGAGGCTCCACCAGAAGCAGCAGGGAAGCTGCAGGGGTCGGGGACAGAAGGCCCCTGGAGCCAGGCTGGGCAGACGCGGCCTTGCTGGGCTCTGGGTCGAGCCAGGCAGCCCGGGCAGCAGCATCTACCCCTCTTTCCCCAGAACCCCCCAACCCAGGCTGGGGACACCAAGGCCCCTGCTCCTCAAGTTGGGGTGGCTCAGGACGCCCTCTCCACGCCCACCTGGCAGTGCCTAGGATCAGCCCACCAGGCCCCCCAAACTTGCTTCGCCGTCACCCAGGCGCCAGCCCAGAAGCTCCAGTACCTCCACAGACCGTTCAGGGGAACGGCAATGGAGTCAGGAAGAGCTTGGGTGCTGGTAACTCTGTGGCCGGACAGTTTTGGACCTGGCCTGTGACCTTGTGGTGTGGACCCCACACAGAAGGCCTTTGGGAGGGGCTCCGGCTTCTGCAGGACCCCCGCCCCCAACCACCACCAAAAAGCAAAGCCTGTGCCTCCTTCCCCAGGCTCCGTGCCCATCACGGGACTCCTCGCCGCACCTCTGTGGGCTGAAGATCAGGATGTGATCAAGTGGATTCCGAAGGGCAGCTGCGTGCCCGTTACAGCCTGGCAGTGGCTGGGCACCGGGCCCTTTCTGTGGAAGTAGGAAGCGGGTCCAGCACAAAAGCGCCAGGTGCAAGTTCTCTGCCAGTTCGGAGAAATCTCCCAAGTTCAGCTCACACCACAGGGCCACCCTCAAAAGTGTCCAGAAGCCCACACCTGGCCCATGCCCTCCCGTTCTCAATTTCATGAAGGCCAGGGAGCCTCCTGACACGCCCGTAGCAGGACCTGAGTGCGCGGGCAGCGACATGGGCAGCGCTCAGCCAGGGCCACTTCCTGCTGGGCAGACACAGGCCCAGGGCACTGCTCAACAGCCTTGAGAGTAGAAGAGACAAGAAAACGAACAAGCACAAAATTCTCTCTGGCTTAAAAGCAAATGACACTTACAGTCTAAAGACAAAAGTGAACCTGATCAGCCTTGAGAAGGGGCCGGCCAGACAAGAAGAGGCTCCTTCTGAGTGCGTTCCGGGGGCGTTGCTACAAAGCTCACACAGAAAGACCACGCCAGGGCCCACACTCCTTGGTGCTTCCTGCCTCCACGGTGGTGACTGGAGAGAAGGGGCTTGGACTCACGGACCCTGCTTAGTTAGCACTTCACCTGGTGTTGAGCCTGGCGCCCCGCCTGACCACTTCCAAGATCTGGGCTGGCCTCTGTGCAGAGGAAGCTGAGACCACTCTTCGCCCGCCACGGGGACCCTGATGACGCACCCCAGGCCACCAGGCCACTGCCTTCACGGTGGGTCCCCACCCGTGTCTCCGGGTTCCTAAACTGCCTGGAGGGGATGTCTGGCCTTTCCTGCCCGGGATGGTGGGTTAGGAAGGATCTGGGGTCTGGCACCGGACTTGTCCCTGGACAGACCTCACCTTCCTTCCACTGCCAGGGAGCAGGGAGGCTGCCACCCACTGCATGAGACCCGGGCACATGCGGGCACTGCCAGCACGCGGGGTGGGGGCTGGACTGAGTCCGGACACCTTCTCAGAGACTCCGGATGGAAGGGCCTAAGAGCCTCCGGTTTCTAGAGGGGGCTGAGATCCGGGGAGTAACTGGGATTTGGAGCCAGGATGGAGGGAACAGGGCTGGGGGATTCTCTCCCCAGCCCCGTCCCCACCCCCTAGAGAAAGTGAAAGTGCTAGAAACCTCCAGATTCCCGGAACGGGGGACGGGAACACGGAGGACGCGGCCTGAGCAAGGCCCCGGTGGCTGCCCCCTCCCCAGCCAGGGCGCAGTCCTTCCTGTTCCGCCTCTGGGGGGTGGGCGGCTCCTCCAGGGTCAGGCGGGGGCAGGACGGGCCGGCCCGGGCTAGTGTTACCGGACGGCCGCGGCGCAGGGGAAGGGAGAGCGCGGGGGACGCAGGACGCCCCGGCTCCCGAACCGCCCGGGTCTCCACCGCCACCCCTGTCCCACTAGGGACCACCCAGGGGCCCGGGCTCCCTCCGGAGGCGCGCTCCAGCCCCTCCCCGTTTCCATGGCTACCAGCAGCGGCGTCCACACCTCTGCCCCCGGTCCCACCCGAGCTGACCGTACCGGGAGCCCTGGCAGGGCCCCTCGCCCCCTAGCGCTGCCACTAACGTGGGGTGGGGGCCCTCGTGGGGGACCGAGAACAGGCGGTGGGGGCGCGGGAAGGGGCGCCTCCTGTACCCCCGGCCCCGCCGCCCGCCTCCGCTCCCGGATGCCGGGCCCAGACCCGCGCTCGGGGCGCTCGGCCTTTGTCCGGCCAGGTGCGGCCGCGCTCACCCGGGCTGGGGCGCTCGGGCTCGGGGCCCTCGGGGGTGCCCGGAGCCTCCGTCCGCTCGGCAGTCTCGTCCCCGCCGCCGTCGGCGTGAGCCTCCACGGGCACCACGGTGAAGTTGGTGGGCATGGCCGCCTGCAGCCGACAGTCCCCGTCCCGGCCCGGCCCGCGCTGCGCCGCTCCCGCCGACGCCACGGGACTTGGAGGCAGGGGCGGGGTCCGACCGAGCCGCCCCGCCCCGCCCGGGCCACGTGACTTCACCTGCTTGCCCCGCGGCCCCACGAAAAGTTGGCCCGCGGCGACTTCCTGCAGGGACCCCAACCCAGGCTGCGTCTGTCTGACCGCCGCGACCCGGGACGCGGGGCTTTCGCTGCCTGCGCTCCCGACCATCGCAGAGCCCGCGAATCCCCGCTCAGTCTCCTGCACCCCCTCCTGCTCCAGCCCCCTGCCCCTCCTGCTGGAACTCCCCGCCCTCCCCGCCCTCCCCGGCCCCCTCCCCGCCTCCCCTCTTGTCCCCTTCCCCGACCCCCCACTCCTGCTCCAGCCCCCTGCCCCTCCTGCACGCCCTTCTGCTGGAACCCCTCACCCCTCCTGCACCCCCCCACCCTTCCTGCACCCCCTCCTGCTGGGCCCCCCTGCCCCTATGAACCCCCTCCTGCTGGAACCCCTGCCCTTTCTGCACCCCCTCCTGCTGGGCCCCTCCTCCTTCTGCGCCCCCTCCCGCACCCCCTCCTGTTTGCCCCCCATTTCCTGCTCCAGCCCCCTACCCCTCCTTCTTCCCCCTCCTGTTCCCCCCTGCCATCCTCCAGCACCCACCTCCCACACAGTCCGCCCACCCACTCCAGGCTGTCAACACCCGCTCAGACCCTGGGCTCCTAGCCTGGCTCCTGGCTAGCCCAACCTGGCTGCAAAGGCAACTCCAGTGGAAGGAGCCTTGGATAGCCTGGGGGTGGGGTACTCCGGAGCTTGGTCCAGCTCCAGTTTAGGGACCTAACCCAGTAGAGGGAGTCCCCCCCCCCACCCATGACAAATACCACCCACGAAGACCCCAGTCTCCTCCACACCTGCCCCAGGAGTGCCCCGCGGCCCCTGCCCTAGAACCCTCCCTTCCCTCCTTGGGAAATGTTCCAGAAGCTCACAGGGTGATGCAGGGAAGGTGGAGTTCCAGAACCCACCAGGCAGACACCAGGATACCACCGGCCAGCACCTGGCACATTTCTCAACAAATGACTCATGAAAAACGGAACAATCAGATGTCCGTCAATGGGGAATTGGGCTAAAATGCTATGGCACACAGGTGCAATGAGTCAGCCTTTATTCCTAATCACCCACAACTGCTGTACGACAACAAAGCAGAAACACAGGTGGTGTGGGCAAACACGGCCACAGCCTCTTGTCACGTGGAAAATGGGTATGGCCTGGCCATGTTTTAGCCGCTTGCCTGTCTAATCCTAAAAGGCAGCTGGAGGGGAGTGATGGCCTCCGGGCTGTGGGATCACCGGGCTCTGTGGGTTCAAGGAACGCAAGCCCAACCTCTCCAGCCATTTCCAGTAAAGCCAGTCATGCCCTGGGGTGGCCTAGGGTTCTACCCCTTTGCCCCATGGACTCTTCTGGGCAGAAGCTGTAGGCCTGGGACCCTCCTGGAACGTCGCCCATCCAGCACCAGCCCTTGCAGAGGTGGGGGTTCCTCTGGCCTGGGTGTCTGGAGCTGTGCCTGCTCCACACTCTCACCCCACCTCCCACCAAAGGGAGCTCAGGGCTGTGGATGGTGCTAGGTCAGCTGCCTCCCTGGGTCAGTGGGTTGGAAGGTAGGAAACCATCACCTCCCCAGAAGATAAAATAGTTCCCAGGCATCCTTATGAGGAGGGCTGGCTTTGCTAAAAAGATCCAGGGGGTGGGAACAGAAGTGCCCAATGGGGTCAATTATAGGGTTCACACTTAGGGTGCTGGGTAAACCCTCTCCTCAGTCACCCCAGCAGGGGCTTCTGTACATTCAACCCTGGTTGCCACCCAGCGCTATTCCCGAGGGTTGGACAGAGCTCAGGGTGGGCACGAGGCCTTCCCAAGTGATGCCAGCAGGAGCAACAGATGTGCAGGGCTCCCGTCGCACATCCAAGCTCTGCTTCACACCCCAGGACCCCAGGGCCGGCTGCCCGCCATGTGCTGGCTGTGGACCTTCAGAGGAGCTGGTTTGGAGGGTCTGTGGCCAGGGCCAGCTCCCGGACTCAGGACTCATCAGCTTCATTTTACAGAGGAGGAAACTGAGGCCCAGGAGTTTAGGGTCCTGTGGCAGCTCCGAGGGTGGTCTTCTCTGTGATTACAAAATCTTGACTAGGACCAGGGGCCATGGCTGAAGCACCTGGGTGGGTGCCCAGCCCTGCCAGGCAGAAGGCAGGTGGCTTCTCTTGTTTAAATCTTAGATCTTACTTGTGGGAGACCTCGGGTGGGGGGTGAGGTCTGCTGCCTTTTGCATTCTAATCAGGTGAGTCACGACAGGGATCAGCACCCTGTAAGCACCTGCGGGTCAAGACAGAGACCCTTGCCGGAGCCCAGAAGCCGCTGCAGGCCCCTCCCATCCCATCAGTAGCCCATCCCTAGGGGTCTGGTGGCCCCTCCCTTCGCTCTGTGGGTTTCCGTGTCCACGTATATCCTCCCACACGGCAGCCTGGGGTTAAATGTGCGTTGTGTGACTTTCAGTGCTCTCTTCCTACCCACCTCCATCCCTCTGTCCTTTTCTGTACCCGGCACCTGTTGTAGGAAGTGGCCCTCGGACACGTGGAGGTACCCGAGGCCTGGGTTGGAGCTGCATCTTTCGGTGCAGGCCTCTGCGTCTCCTGGAAGTGGGCACCTGGAGCCAGGGGACTGCTGGGATCCGGGTCCAGTCCCCTGGCAAGGCCGGGGGCTCGCAGAGGGAGCCACGCACTGTCTGGTGGTAGCTCCTCCGTCCGCAGTCGTTGGTGCTTGATGTCTGAATCGACAGATTCATGGAGCAAAATGGTGATTTTCCAGTGCGTGGTGGCTTCGTCATGAATTCACTGGAGGGAGAGGCTCATCTTGTCCGTCTGGCCATCTGGATAATGGTGCCCACAGGAAAGGCAGGGCAAGGGTGCCTCTCCCTCATTTGTCAGTTTCCACAACGGTGAATTGGTTCCCGACAATCTCCCAAGTATATTTGTACATCGCTGATGAAACACATTGGTGGGTCTCAGTCGATCACCATTAGTGCCCTTTCCAAGCATCGGTGTCCAGCTTTGCCCAGGGGGCCTCTTCAAATGCAATCTCGCATCCTTATGATGTGAGCCTGGTCATCTGCGATGGCCTCTTGGCCGTGTGCAGGGCACAGCCAGGGGAACCCTGGGATTTAGTGCGAAAGTGTAGCCGATGGTGGTTACATTCTGTGTGTAGATTCTCGAAACAGTCCCTGCTGCCTGCCACCCTGGGGTGGAGTTTCTAATGGATTAGGACGGACACCCAATGCCAGCTTCCAAGCCAGGAGGCCGCTCGTGCCCACGGCTTGGAATCAGGGCTGTGGCCTGGGAGGGCTCTCACCAGACGCAGGCTGCCTCCAGGTATCTGTGTGCCTCTGCCCACGGAGCTTCTCCCCAGGTCCGCGGGTCCCCCCAGTCCACTTCTGCTTTCCTGTTAGGGTGGGGGGCTCATCTCCTGGTGCGCCATCTGCATCCTTCTGGGCTGGGAACCTGCTGTCGGGTATCAGGCAGGGCGCACCTCCAGGGCTGAAGGATGCAGGTGGGGCTGGCAGGCAGAGTGTCCGTGGAGAGCTCCGTGTCCAGGGAAGGGGACACCTGGAGGAGGCCGGCCCTGGAGGCCCCACACTCCTTCTCACCAGAAAGCCACCCGCCTTCTGCCTGGCAGGGCCGGGCACCCACCCAGGTTCTTGCCTGTTGGCCCAGCACCCATGGTGAGTGGGGGAGAGAGCGAATAGGGCAGAGCAGAAGAGAGAGGGGAGGAAGGAGAATCGGGGGAAGGGGGAGGGAAAGGAAAGAGGTGGGAAGGGAGGAGAGGGAAGGGAGGCCCCAGTTACCCAAGGCTAAAGTGATTTTTAAAAAACAAACCTTTTTTTTTTTAAGCGTGGTGAGCCTCTCCTGGCAGGGTGGGGTATGTGGACATCAGTGGAGGAAGCAGAGTCTCCGGCCACCTGTGGGACCCACACTCTCCCTGCCCAGGAGTCCCACCAGGGCCGAGAATTCTGCCCATGGCCAGGGTGGCCCTAAAGCCCCACATCCGCCACCACCTGTGGGGGCTCGAAGGGAGCTGTGGTAGGCAGGGATGACAGAAGACCCCAGCCACAGCCCCAGGCCCATGGCTGCATCTCCCCTGAAGAAGCAGCCCTGTCCCAAGGGTTCTGCAAACAATGCCAGGCTCTTCCCAGGCAGGCACCGCAAGCTGCCCCCCGCCCCGATCCCTGGCTTGCCCAGGGCGGGGCCTCTGGGCCTGGTGGATGGTGGGCCTGGCCTGGCGCTGGGGAGCCTGTCTGCACAGTGGCCAGGTACGTGGGGTTCTGAGCCTCCCCCGGGTCCTGTGCCTGCTGGGCAGGGGTACATCCCATGGAGCTGAATCTGGGAATAGAAGGGGCCTCCCCTCCCACAGAGCTCGTCTCAGACCATCTGTGTCTGAGACTGTAAGTGACGCCAACAGAAGGTCAAGCTTGAGCGACAAAGCTCTCAGTCCTGTAATTCACGGACACTGAGTCTTCGCTCAAGTTCCCTCTGGAAGATTCCGTGGATGAGTCCGACACACTCTTCCCCTCACTCAGGAGGCTCCAGGATTTTTAGACCACGTGTGTGGCTTTCCTTCTCTCAAAGTGTAACTCACATAATGTTACTCAGAATCTCACACGGACGCCCGTGAGTTGCAGACACAGGGAAGGTTCGCATCTCCTCTGAAGTCCAAGCTGCCCAGAAGCCCACCCACCCCCCGCCAGCTCTCGTTCCTGCTCCACAGGTGACTTCTTTCCCGTGAAGCTTGGGCAAATGTTTGCTGTCGGCTCAGGGGGAAAGGCCATGCCAGGGTCCAGATGGGCTCAAAACCTCCCAACCTGGCAGACACGCAGCCCTTCAGAAATGGAAGCAGAGCCCAGGACACGATGTGGCCAATCCTCTCTCAGACGTCATAAAGAGCTGGGTTTGGAAGACGAGGCCAACCCTCATGGATGCCGCCCCCGACCCCAGCAACACCATGAGATCAGGGATTTGCTGGCTCTGTCTCAGAGCCGCGGAGGGTCCTGCTCAAACCCCAGAGCCGTGGGGATGGGCTGGGGGGCTGGTGGGGAGCGTACTGCGAGGGGCCACTGAGCAGGCTGGGGTGAGCTGGGCCTGGCCTGCGGGGGTGGGGGTGCAGCCTTCGCTGGGGAGGCAGCCAGGGAAGGGGTTCCTACCAGCCCGAGATGGAGCAACGAAGCAACTAGTGAAGCCAAGTTTGCAAAATTATCACCGTTGGTGGAAGGGTTCCGACCTGACTCCATCTTGGTTCTGACCTCCAAGCTGTCCTTGTTCCTTCCTGGGCGTAGGCTGAACTAACTTTGGGAGGAACTTAGTTTATAGTTAAAATAAACCTCCTTCTTGCCTGAGGGCTAGACTGCCTTTGTAGGATTAACAAATTAGCCACAAGATTAAAGAAATTGTGGTTTAGGAGTCATGCAGCTGGAGGCTACAAGATTCTGACCCTCCCTAAACTGCTCCTAAAATCCATGCTTGAGATGTTTTGCGGATCCTTGTTGCGCTAGATGGATCAGCTGGCACCACTCAGACCAATAGACTGGCTCATCTGATCTTGTGACCCCCACCAGGAACAGACTCCGCACAAAAGGACAGCTTCAATTCCCTATGAGTTCATCTCTGACCTGACCAATCAGCACTCCTGGCTCACTGGCTTCCTCACCCACTAAGCTGTCCTTAAAAACTGATCCCTGCCGGGCGCGGTAGCTCACGCCTGTAGTCCCAGCACTTTAGAAGGCTGAGGTGGGTGGATCACGAGGTCAGGAGATCGAGACCATCCTGGCTAACACGGTGAAACCCCGTCTCTACTAAAAATACACACAAAAACATTAGCCGGTCATGGTGGCAGGTGCCTGAAGTCCCAGCTACTCGGGAGGCTGAGGCAGGAGAATGGCGTGAACCCGGGAGGCGGAGCTTGCAGTGAGCTGAGAGCACGCCACTGCACTCCAGCCTGGGGGATAGAGTGAGACTCTGTCTCAAAAAAAGAAAAAAAGAACTGATCCCAAATGTGTGGGGAGACTGATTTCAGTAATAATAAAACTCCGGTCTCCCACACAGCCAGCTCTGCGTGAATCCCTCTTTCCCTATTGCGATTCCCCTGATTTGAGTGACAGTAAAACTCCGGTCTCCTGCACAGCCAGCTCTGCGTGAGTCATTCTTTCTCCCCTGTAATTCCCCTGTCTTGATCCATCAGCTCTGTCTGGGCAGCAGGCAAGGTGAACCCATTGGGCGGTTACATGAGGGGGAGTCCATGGGCCTCAGCCCCTTGAACAGAGAGATAAGAAGATCCCACACTGGGAAACGTTTCAGTGCAATCTGAGAACATCGTGGGCAGGCCTGGCAGCCATCCAGACCCGGCAGAAGAGTCTTCCTGGCAGCAGCGCCAGGGATTCTCCAAAAACAGGTGTGACCCAGACTCGCGCCCTCGCCAGACACAGATGAGCTGTTGGCCAAATGCGAAGGCCGCCAAAGCCGTCCTTGGGCGTGAAAGGTCTTGGGAAGTTTCCCCTTTCTAGACCGGGGGATGCCTCTTGCCAGGAAATTCGAATGAGTCCAGGAGGAAGGAGAAAGCCTGGACCTGACGTAGGCCTCAGAGAGCCTGGTCTCACCCATTTCTAATGGAACCCATTAAAAATCAGACAGTGTGGGGGACCCAGACAACAGTAAACAGCTGTGCTCATAACATCAAATGTGCTGGCCCCGCAGCCTTGCAGGTACCAAGGTTGTTTCTGGTGGCTTCTTCCAAGGCTGTGGGAGGTGTGGGCGTGTCTCGCTGAACTTCTGGGCCGGCTGGCGGGAGAGGCAGAGCTGGCGCTGACATCAGCCTCCCGGCGGGAGGGGCTCACAACCCACACTGAGCACCCAGAGCCAGACCTCCCCAGAGGAATGTTCTGGGGGAGAGGGAGGGGCACAGACGACTGCTCCCGAAAGGAGGGCCCTGCCTCGTTTTGTGGCCCCGCATCTGGTGTGCTCACCCTCAGTCTGCAGCAGCTCGAAGCCCTCCTGATGAGAGCCGACACAGGCAGGGGCCAGAGTCGCTTTTGCAGCGCTGGAAGGCTGAGTTCTGCCATCAGCTTTGCATTTTACAGCTTTCTGCTGGGATCAGAGAAGCACCTGCACAACCTCCCCTGCGTTTTCTAAACATTCAGCTGGGAACCTGGACTGCAAAGCCCGGCCTCAGTTACCGCCACTTTTTCCCAGAGCCCTTTTGGGGTGAGTTTTCTGGACTTGCTCATCAGGGCCAGCACTCGTTAAAGGTGAGGACCCCGTGATCCCACCCCGCACAGCAGTACCCAGACACCCGCTAGGGCCCCAGCTCCCAGGGGACGCCGCAGGCACGCACACATCCCTGCCCGGGTGACGCCGAGGTTACACAAGCCCTTTGGAAAGCTCTGGTGCTGCCTTGGCTGCACCATGACCCCCTCCAGCTGTGTGCGGCCGGCTCGCCGCCCATGGTGCTGTGGTCCTGGTTGGGCGGTGAGGTTCAGCCCTGACCGTCGGGCAGCGACCGTTTCAGGAAGCACGGGAACAACGGACTTTGAGCCACCTTCCTCTCCCCAGCACCCTTTCAGCCACCCCGTGCCAGGCTCCCCACCCACACAGCCCCATCCCAGGCACGCGGTGGCTCTGGAGGGCTGCATGTCAGGGTGCAGACCAGAACACGCCCGATTCCTTCCAGGCAATGGACAAATGGGGTCCACCGGCGCTGTCCTGTGATGGGCAGGCTGGGGGGCGGTGCCCAGCTTTGGGCCCTGTAGCCTCAGGCCTCCCCTCAGGCCACCTGCCCCCTGTGGCTGCTTCTGCCTCCCCGCAAAAATCCAGTCTGAGCTGGCTGAAGGCGCACAGGTGTCACCATGGCCCAGGCAGCTGGGACCCCCCCATAGGTCAACAGCCTGTCATTGGGGTCACTCAAGGGCCTTTCTGCCCAGCTGGCAGGGCCTGACCAGGTCCCCTGAATTTCACCCCCAGAGTGCAGTGGATCCCCCTGGGGCTGAGGGGACCCTCCACGGCCCCAAAGCCAGAGAGCACAGATTGACACTCAGAATCATGGCTGCAGACCCTGCCACAGCCCCAAACATGCTCTTCATAAGAGAAAGGCTGACAAAGTGGTCTTCACTAAAATGACACACTTCTCTTTCTCAGAAGACGCTCTCAAGGGCAGGGGAGCAAGCCCGGGTGCAGCTGGGTGGGCACCTGCCGTCCACAGGGCCCCCCCACCGGCAGTGTCCGGATCACACGAAGACGGCTTACAGACCAGCAAGGAAACGCTGAACCCGGAGGACAAGAGGGCAAAGACTTGAACTAACATGGAGGAGCACGTGGAGATGCCACCTCGCCGGGGGACGCGCGCCGTCGGCAGTGTGCCGGGGACACCACGGTGTGCTGGCCAGATGCTCACAGCCGCTGTACCTCCCCACACAACTGGAGGTCCGTGGAATGCACGGCCACTGTGGAAAACTCCAGACACGCCTCCATCACCACCCAGAAACCCCACTCTCAACAGAAACACACAGACACTAAGCAAAAGACACACAAAGGCCTTCCTGGGAGCCCAGACTGGACACAGCCCACATTCCCATCAGCAGGGCAGTGGGCGACGGGCCACAGATGGCGTGTCCCTTCAGGGAGTGTCTACCACACACGCCAGGGATGATCTCGCACGTGGGCTGCAGGGCAGGAGGAGGTCGGCATGATGCTGTCTACGTGAAGCTCAAGGGCAGGCAGGACTCACCCTGGGGTGCACACCAGCACAGACGGCAGTCCCTGTGCAGCAGAGACGGCTTCCAGGGCTTGGAACGGCCACGCTTCGACGCGAAGGGCTCCTGGGCCTGCCCGAGCTCGGAGCTCACCCGGCAAAGATTTAAGATGTGTGCTGCTCCCTGGGTGCCAGCTGCACCTCACTCAGAGGAAATAAGAGTGGCTCAGAGCATGTGCTGCACGGTAGACTCGGTGCATCCTGACCTTGACACTGAGTCCACCCAACCCTCCTGCTGCCCGCCACCGTTCCCCAAGCTGCCTCCTGCACGTCCCCGCATCCCTCATCTTGCAGGCAGTGGGACAGCTGGGCTGTTTCTGTCACATTCTCTGTGAAGAAGAGTCCAGGCCAGCAAATATTTATCACCAAGTGTCTGGCCAGTGTGGTCCCCAGACACAGCTGTCTCCGTCCCAAGGCCTGGACTTTACACGTGGAGTTCCCTGTGTCGGTCCCCAGACAGCAGTGGTGCCACCTGGCAGGGGTTTGGCCTGTGGAGGGCTGTGCCCCTGAGGCCCACGGGAAAGCTCATGGACTTGCTGGGGGGCAGGGCCGACATCAGCGCCCGTGTGCGGATCCCCCTGCAGCCGAGTCCCAAGCAGGATCGTCACCCTCACATTCCTCTCCGGTGGAATGCTGCTGAGAGGTCCTTTAAGCATATGGCCTCAAGTAATCGTGGAAAGAGAAGGCAGCGGCATTGGTGGGCACAGGAAGGATCCATGCCACTTTGTGGGACCCAGAGAGGCAGTGTGACCTCAAGGGCTTACAGCCAGTGAGTGGCAGGCAGGGACAAGGGGGAGTTCCAGAAGCCTTAGGACATTCCTTGTCCCATGGATGACTGGAAGGACCCTTCCCAGATGGGA
Organism: Homo sapiens; assembly: GCF_000001405.40. Taxonomy (NCBI): domain Eukaryota; kingdom Metazoa; phylum Chordata; class Mammalia; order Primates; family Hominidae; genus Homo; species Homo sapiens. Next base: position 139,396 of record NT_187548.1, read on the forward strand.
ATCCCCTGCCCGCCCCAGCCATGCCCAGCACTGAGGGGTGAACCCTGGAAGCACCCATGGGTCAGCCCCGGAGCCGCGCAGTTTCTCCTAGGAAGGGGTAACTGTGCCCCAGACTCAGGAGGGGCTGTCCTGTCTTCCTGCAGGCCTTGGAGGCCACTGTCCCTGATGGGGTTGTGCAAGTGTGGGGGGCATGAGAGGGGGCCCCTTCATCAGCTCAGCGCCCACCCTAGGCCTGCTTCATGCCAGGCACACACTGCGCTGCAGGCACGAAGCGGGGATGGGTTCCCTGAGGCGGGGCTCTGCCTACTCCCAGACCCTTGTGGAGGCCCTGTCTCCCAGCCTCTCTGCCTTGTGCCCCGGGCCCACGGCAACGCAGCCCCCATTCCAGAGAGCCAGACCCTCCAGCTCTCAAGGGAACAGCAGGGAAGACAGGGATGGTGTGGGGGGACACTGTCCTTGGGAACTTTCCCTGCCCCCACCGCCTGCCCTTGCGCATGGGCCTCCCTAGAAACGTGTCACCCCAACCCTTGAGAAACCAGAACCCCCGGCAGGGCTGTGCGAGGCGGGGTGGGATTTTGGGGGTGTCAGAATCTCACCAGAATCCGGGCAGTGGGGGGATGAAAATTCTGGCTGCCCAGCACAGCCCCCGCCACTGCGCTTGGCACCTCAAGGGGCCTGGGTTCTCAACACCAGCTCAGATAACTGGTAAAAATGTTTGTTAGTTTTAACTTTGCTTTTTCCTTTTTCTAAAAAAATCCATTTTATTTAATTGTAGTAAAATAATACATAAAATTGCCATTTTCACCATCTTTAAGTGTCCGACGGACGAACCGCATTCCCACAGCTGTGCGTCCACCTTCACCACCGGTCTCCAGAGTCCTCCCAAACTGAAGGCCTCTCCCCAGCCTGGCACCTGCCATTCTGCGTTCGGTCTCTACAGATCTGGGAACTCCAGGGACCTCCCAGGAGAGGATCAGACAGGGCCCCGCGGCATGACGTCCACACAGCTCCTTGGTGCTGTAGCCCGTGCCAGCATCTCTTTCATTTTCTCGGCTGTCGAGTGTCCACTGTCTGGACGGGCACGTTTTGTTCACCCACTCATGTGCTGATGGACACGAGGGTTGCTATTCCCCCTATGTAGTGATGGGTAACAACTTCAAAGGTATGTATCTAAGTAAAAATGAAAATGTGTAAAATGTGTGAAGCGCCCCACGTGCGCACGCACAAGCCCTCTGGGAGGAGCTGGGGGCGTCGCCCTGGCTGCCTGGGGGCGCGGGGCCTGACCTTCTGCCTACGCTCCTCTGTCCTGTTACCTGGGGTGGCTACGCCAGCATCATCTGGCCAAAAATACCTCCTAATCGTTCTGGCTGAGCCGCTGCCACTGCCACTGCCCAAGATAAGCAGGGCACGCTCGGGCTCCCGGCAGTGATTTCTGTCCTATTTTTACACTTGGCTCAGATAAGGTCTCGGGTGGCCTGTGCCCAAGGTCACTCTGTGGGGCCCCAGGGAGGCAGTGGCTTGCCCTGGGTCCACATTCCCTCTGGGGAAGTGGGTTCTGGGAGCCGCATAGAGAGGCATGCTGGGCGTGCAGAGCAGGAGTGGTCGCAGGGACCCCGGCTCCGAGGAGGGGAGGGGGCCACTCCTGGGCCCTTGAACCCTTGGGTCCCAGCACCTGCAAGCACAGCCCTGCCAGGTAACACCACCAACTCCTGGAGGCGCACTAGAGCTCACATCTAGGGTTCCTGGCAAAAGAACCCCCAGATAAATGAGTTAAGCTGTCTAGCCTCCTCCCTGCCAAAGACCCCCAGATAAATGAATAAAGCTGCCCAGCCTGGCCCCGCCGGCCCACTGAGGGGTAGCAGCTCAGCAAGGCAATGAGGCCGGCCAGAGACCGCCGCACAGAAGTGGGCGTTCCCCGCTGAGGGGCCGGGGGCCGCGGTCAGCTTCTCTGAGTGTCCTGGTCTTGGAGGACACACGTCACGTGTGTTGGCCAAGGAGCCGGGATCGGGGCCTCCATCAAACAGTGTTGCAAACTGGTAGGGCATATCCTGAAGGTTTAAGCTTCAAATTTTGCTTGGCAAACTGAACCCAAATCCACCTCTCTTTCTTGACTTTCTTCGTTTGTTTCATTAAGAGAAGAGAGAAGAGGAAACATGTTTGAGTAACAGTTTCTGAGATAACTCTCTTGGTCTAATTGCCTCATTGAAACCTTAAATATTTGGCTTGCATCACGAGGTCAGGCCAATACGCTACTAAATTCATCGCTCTCAGTGGAGAATGACTTATCTGTGCAAATACCACAAGTCATCAATTTCTATTTTCTCAGGGTGATAAGTTAAAAATACATTTAAAAAATAAGCTTTGATTGCTTTTGAAGGACAGCAACCTCCATGGACCTCGCAATGCAAAACCCACAGCTGACAGCAGGTCAATCTGCTCCAACAACTAGCAACAGCTAGATTCGTCCTCAGGGACCCACTTCACAGGCCAGAGATCTTCAGCATAGAGATCAGCGCCCACAAGCCAAGAGAAAAGTCTTTCAAAGACCACCTAATCCCTCACTGTTTTCGAGGAGAAAAGGAATGCACATTTAAAAAACAAAAACCAAAAAGATTTGCAGCTCCAGCGCCTGGTCATGAGGAAGTAGCTGCGTGCAGTGGTCAAAGAAAACACAGAGGACAGAAGACCATGGGAGGGTGCTTCCAAAGTACAGAGAAACAGCTGCAGCCTCGACCTCTGCGCCAGCAAACACTGTCTTCAAAAATGAAGGCAAAATCAAGACATTTCCAGACCAACGAAAACTGTGAGGATTTATCCCAAGTGGAAGGAAAATGGTTCCTGATGGAAACACCGAAATCCAGAGCTCAGAGAACACGGACTGGCGGGGCAGGCGGCAGAGCCTTGCGGCGCTGGACACATTGAACACTCAGCGCCCAGCACAGGGGAGGGAGGCCCTGGAGTCCCTGATCGCAGCAGACCTGGACCATCAAGGGCATCTGTGCAGGGCAGACACTGGGGCGACGACCGTGAGAACAGCAGAACACACAGCTAGCAAGCGAACACAGGGAGAAAACGGAGTAATAAAAAAAGTGTTTAATCCAAAATAATCAAAAGAAAAGACACCAGTGCTTGCACTAACCGGAGCGAGGCGGCCGGCCAGACCTCAAATCTCACACCCTGATGACGCCCCGCTTCAGCAAAATCCAGAGAACTGGAGGAGAAACAGACACTACTCCAGGGAACAGCTAGAGATTTCAAGACACCTCGCCCCATAACTGGTAAAACAAATCACTGGAGAGAAAGAAGATTTGAACAACCCATAAGCAAGACTGACCTAATTAATGGTCAGCTATGTGGAAATGCACCCAGCCACTGCCCGGCCCCTACTCCACACCACAGGGTTGAGAGAGGAGCTCTGACAGCTGGGAATGGAGCACAGAGCAGCTGTGGAAAGATAATGGAAAATCCCCCGGGGCCTGGGAACTGCAGCACATGGAGAAACCCACGTGCTGAAGAGTGAGCCGTGATCGGAATGAGATAATGTTTTAAACGAAAGTGTGTGTGTGTGTGTGTGTGTGTGTGAATTCTTTTTAATTCTAAGACTTTCATACAGAAACATCACTTCATGGGTAAAAGCAAGTAAAGTCAAACGGCACACTTTTTAAGTTTATTTTAGTATTTTTATGCTGAATAGTGCATAATAATGGTATTTTAGTATTTTCATTGAATCTGCAGGCGTGTCAACATGTTAGAAATTGTACTGCGGAAAATGTCACTGCTCTCCAAACTCCAAAACAGTGGTTTTGGAAAGTTTATCTAGGGTGGGAGACTATTCTAATTTATTTATAACTTTGACTAATTGGATCCCAATTACTTTGTATAAATGGTAAAATTTGAAATATATCAAACATGGTTAAAATGTCTACCTGGGCCGGGCACAGTGGCTCATGCCTGTAATCCCAGCATTTTGGGAGGCCGAGGCGAGCAGATCACCTGAGGCCAGGAGTTTGAGATCAGCCTGGCCCACATGGTGAAACCCCATCTCTACTAAATATACACAAATTAGCCAGGCATGGTGGCATGTGCCTGTAATCCCAGCTACTCAGGAGACTGAGACAGGAGAATCACTTGAACCTGGGAGGCGGAAGTTGCAGGGAGCTGAGATCACATCACTGCACTCTAGCCTGACAACAGTGCCAGGCCCTGCCTCAAAAAAAAAAAAAAAAAAAAGTCTGTCTGCTTGCATTGTTATATCTTCATTAATTTAATTGTTAATGTTTCCAAAAAGTCACTCATGTTATTAAGCTAATTCTTAGCAATATACACATAGTATATTTACACAATATTAACCCATGAATTCATCTATTCTTTTTATTTTATTTTATTATTTTTTGAGACAGAGTCCCACTCCAGGCTGGATGCAGTGGTATGATCTCAGCTCACTGCAGCCTCCACCTCCCAGGTTCAAGTGATTCTCGTGTCTCAGCCTCCCAAGTAGCTGACAGCTGGGATTACAGGCATGGGCCACCATGCCCGGCTAATTTTCTATATTTTTAGTAGAGACAGGGTTTCACCATGTTGGCCAGGCTGGTCTTGAACTCCTGGCCTCAGGTAATCTGATCGCCTCGGCCTCCCAAAGTGCTGGGATTACAGGCGTGAGCCACTGCACCCAGCCCCTACCTATTCTTTTTAATGTTTAATATAATTGAGATGTTACTCACTTTTTAAAACATTTTAAATTGTTTAGTTTTTTTCTTCTGATTTGTTTTTGGTTTTTGTTTTGTGTTTTAAGTTTCAGAGGTACATATTCACGTTTATTACACAAGTAAATTTGTGTCATGGGGTTTGTTGTACAGATTATTTCATTACTCAGGTATTAAACCTAGTACCCATTAGTTATCTTTCCTGATCCTTCCCCTCCTCCCACTCTCTGCCCTCAAGTGGGCCCCAGGCTGTGTTGTTTCCCTCTATGTGTCCATGCGTTCTCATCGTTTAGCTCCCACTTATAAGTGAGAACATGCTGTATTTAGTTTTCTGTCGAACTAAATTATAATGAAAATACAACCTATCGAAACCATAAGATGCAGCTGAAACCGTGCTTAAGGGACGAGTCACCACTGTAGATCCTGCAAAAGTATAAAGGTAGTGGAGTGGGTTGAGCTGGGCTTCCCCAGAAGGATATGTTGAAGTTCTAACACAGGTACCTGTGAATGTCCTGACTGGGAGGTGGCTCCTTGCAGTTGGGACCACATCATGAAGATGAGGTCATCCTGGAGTAGGGTGTGGGCTCTCAATCCAATGACTGATGTCTTTTTTTTTTTAGACGAAGTCTTGCTTTGTTGCCAGGCTGAAGTGCAGTGGCGCAATCTCGGCTCACTGCAACCTCCACCGCCCAGGTTCAAGTGATTCTCCTGCCTCAGCCTCCCAAGTAGCTGGGACTACAGGCACACGCCACCACGCCCAGCTAATTTTTGTATTTTTAGTAGAGACGGGGTTTCACTGTGTTGACCAGGATAGTCTCGATCTCTTGACTTCGTGATCCACCTGCCTTGGCCTCCCAAAGTGCTGGGATTACAGGCGTGAGCCACCACGCCTGGCCGACTGATGTCCTTATATGGACAGCTTTGAGGCCACAGAGGAGAGGCAAAAGGCAAGGGCCACAGAGATGGAGGCAGAGGCTGAGGCGATGGGGCCACAGACCCAGGGATGCCTGGAGCCGCAGAAGTTGGAAGGGGCAGGAAGGAGCCTCTTTTAGAGCCTCCGGAGGGCGTGCAGCCCTGCCCACACCTGGACTTCAGATTTCCTTTCTCCACCACTGAGAAGGCAGATCTGTGAAGCCACAGTGTGTGGTGATCACAGCAGTCCGAGGAAACTGATGGATATACAAATACCACAGATAACTCTGTGATAACGATCTTGTAAATGGAGATAAAATAGACACATTCTCCAAAATCCATACAAAAAGAAACAGAAGCTCTGAATAGTACTATGTCTCATGAAGAAATTAAATCCTTGATTTAACTTTGCCCCCCTCCTGCACATAAAACCTTCAGGGCCACACAGACTCACTGGTAAACTTTTCCAAACACTGAAGGAAGAAATAATACCAGTTACATTGAAGTCTTTCAGAGAATTTTAAAAAAGAAGTAATTTTGCACATCTCCTGTTATCAAATTAGCACTTGTCATCAAGGAAGGGAAGATAAAGCACGAGGAGATGCCCACACCCCAGGAAAGTGTCCCAAGAGTGGCTCAGATTCTCCAGGGCTGCGACGTCCTGGTTTTCATCTGGGGGTGGTGACAGGCGCGTGATCTCTGGTTATTCCAGAAGCAGTGAATGTAGGATGTGTGTCATTTAGCTTCTCACGCCATGCACTGGGGCAAGTTCACTGAGGAAACAGATCTCATCCTTAAGGCAGGCTGGGAGTGGGCGTGGCTGGGAGGTGGGTGCCTGAGGAACACTCTCGCCCCTTCCCCTGCACCTGTGGTCTCAACCTGGCGGGAAGTCCGCTCCAGCTCCTGTGGGACCAGGGTTGCTGGATCCAAGTTGCCAGGTAAACTCCCGCTGATCTGCAGCACAAGAGCCAAATCCCAGGACGAGCTCTCACGGAGCAGTCAGGCCCAGTGGAAACTGGTGGCCTCGCTCCAGGAAATGAAGCCAGACTCAGACAAACAAAAGCCACCAGCAATGCATGGAGGCAGGATGGGACATCTCACGCGGACCCAGTGACCCTGGAGCATGCCTGGGTACAGATGGAGCCCCCAACAGGGGTTTCCTTCCTCATGTGGTTGATGGAAGGTTCTAGAATTCATCTTCTCATAGGGAGGAAAAGTGCTGCCCAGCCCCCAACACTCTGAGACCTCTGGGGCTCAGTAAATATTTGATAAACAACAGGCTCAGCAGGTGCGGTGGCTAGTGAGACTGGTACAGACCAGGTGGCCCATGGGTATTGGGTCTGCCCTGTGACCACCAGTCCTGACAGGCTGCAGCGGAGCATGTGTGCACGTGTGTGCATGTATGTGTGCGTGTGTGTGTGCATGCGTGCACACCAATGGGAGTGGCCCCAAGTGCCTGCCTGGTCTCTACACGGCTTCCAGCCTTTTCCTAGAATGGATCACATGTTTGCATACACACATATGTGCACACACATGCAGAAACCAGACCCACTCCCACCATCCACCCACACAAGCTGGACCCTCAGTCACGCGGCTCCCTGCCACGTGCTCCATCCCCATGTGCGTCCAACACACCTGCCAGCTCTGCTTTCAGCTTTCCCTGATGGCCAAGCATACCCCGCTGCCCCTGCAAGGCTTGGGAGCACTCCTGGGATCCCCTGCAAGGCTTGGGAGCACCCCTGGGATCCCAAGTCTGATGGCCTCTAGAAGTCCCTCTCCTCAAACCTCGGTCACAGCTGCTGCCTAGGGCCTGCCAGGCCAGGGGGACAGCCACGTCTCTCCTAGACACACGAGGACACCCCTCCAAGAGGCCTCCCTCAGCCAGCCGCCACTGCTGCCGGCCCCTCTGTGCATCCCCAAGGGCTGAGCTGTTGCAGGGTACAACGCCTCCTGGCTCCAAGTGAAAGTCGGAGGTGGGCAGGACGTTCAGGTAACACCCCCACCTCCGAAGTCCAGTCTCACAGAGCCTTAGCAGCCACCCAAGGCAAGGAGGTGGCCATGGGCCACCAGGAGTGTCCCGAGCATCCCAGGCCCACAAGGGCCAGAGAAAGTTCCGGGCTTCCCCTAGCGTAAGGGACAGAACCAGGCGCCCTCCCCTCCTGGCCCCCTCAGCTTTCCTGTGACGCCCAGGACCAGGACCAGGACCAGGGAAACCACAGCGTCCCAGGCGACAGGGTGGAGGGCGGCTCCAGGAGCCCAGCTGGGGCATCGGCCAACCCCCGAGAGACACACTTGCTCAGGCATCCCTGGCAAGGTTTCCAAAGCCCTCACGCGGATGAACACGGGAACACCTGGGGCACCCACTGTTTCACGGAAAAAGTCACAGGGGTCACCCTGATGGGATGTAATTTCTGGATATGATTAAACAGGAAGAAAAGATCCCGGCTGAGATTACCGTTCAGAAGCACCTTGGAGCCGGGCTCTCGACACTGCTGACCCGAAACCTGGTGATTCAAGAGGAAAAGAACGCCCTGCTGCCGTCAGAGCTGGAAACTGCACAGCCCATTGTGTCCTGGGCGTGAAGCCATCACCTGACTCCCAGGTGAGGAGCCAGAGGGTCAGGGGTCAGAGCTCAAGGGACGCCCTGGCCAGCTGGGGCAGTCAAAGCTACCTCTGCTTCTTCCCCTGAAAGAGGAAGTTTAGATACCCAAGAAGTTTTGATATCTCCTCCACGACTTTACTTCTGGATGTGGTTCAGAAAAATCTGCGGAAAATCACCCAGAATTGCACCCGTTTGGTTTACAGGAGTATTAGCTGTGGGGGCCCCTTTTCCACCACCCCCATCAAGCAGCCTCCCGGGCAGCCCAGGACCCTCCAGAATCTTCCAGAAGCCGCACCACTCGCTTCAGTCGTAACCTGCAGGACCCCACCGGGCGAGGCTGGCTGGGAGGAGGCACTCTCAGGACAAGGGACCTGGGCAGGCACCTCCTGTCTCCGCTCAACACCCAGCGAGGACAGGAGGACCCAGGGTGCACCTGCATCTGCGTCTGGGCAGAGGAGCAAAGACCTGGCCTTCCCAGAGCTTGAGCTGTGGGAGGAAGAGAGGCTGAATGAAAGCCCCGCCCCCACCCCACCCCAGGAGAGGCCACCTGGGGCCTCCCACAGCCCTGCCCACGGCTGCACACGCGTGTCCCCTCACCTCCTTAGCCAGGGCGGCTGCCCGCGCAGGTCCCCTCACCTCCTTAGCCAGGGCGGCTGCCCGCGCAGGTCCCCTCACCTCCTTAGCCAGGGTGGGGGCAGCAGGGAGGGAGGGCGTGCTGCATTCTTCCCTGGGCCTGCAGGTGCACCTGTGCCTGCCCAGAGGGAGCAGCGGGAGCTTCCAGCAGACACACCTGGACAGGTGCACAGAGCTCCTGCCAGGGAAACCCAGCACAGACGCAGGTGGGCGGGTGGTGGGAGGGTGGCAGAAGCGGAAAGAGGAGGAGGCTGAGCTCAGCACAGCCCATGCAGTCTCCTTCCGGCCAAGGGGAGCGGCTGGGCCAGTCTGAGCCGGGAGGCAGCTCAGGGAGTAAGCCCTGGGGACAACATTGGAGTAGCACAGGGTTCCCTGACAGAACCTCACGTCGGAGGGTGGTCTGAGGGCTGCTGGGGGCCCACCTAGGAGATGGGGTCCCAGGACACAGAACAGGGAGGGGGTGGTGTTTCCAGGGTGAGGCCTGGGGGAGGGTAGCAAGGCCTGGACTAGGAGATGGAGGCCTAATCAAAGCAAAACAGAGACTCAGAGCTCAGCGCCTGTATTCGCAGGGACACACAGGGACTCACAGGGACGTCCCGGATCGCTAGGGGACTCACGGGGACACGTGGGGACACGCTCGGACTCACGGGGACTTGCAGGGGCCCATGGGGATGTGCAGGGACACCGTCCCTCCCGGCCGTCCTGCTCCTTGCCAAGAGTCACCCAGAGGCTGGGGCCTGGCACCACTTGCAGACAGGGGCATTCCTGGGCCCCTCCTTTTGGCACCTCAGCCTCAGCAGCTGCTGAAGGGTGTGGGGGAGGGAGCCGGTATTGGTGCAACAGGCAGATGGTTCCAGAAACTCAGGATTCTACACAATCCTAGCACCTGAGGCACAGTCCTGCACGGCCGCCACGCTGTCGGAAGCAGGCACCGGCCCTGGTGGTCAACACAAGCCCTGAGGACCTCCCAGAGGGCATGCTCCGGGCAACCTGCCAGGACCACCTCTCCTGCCTGGTGTTGGGGGCCTCACCTGACCTCTCCGGGTCCCTAACCAGGCGCTAGGGCTGCCTCCCTTGGGGCCCCCAGAATCCACCCTGGAACGGCTGCTGGGACTGAGACCCTGAGTCAGGCCAATCCCCAGAGCCTTGCCTAGCCATGGCTTGTCTGGGGTGGGTTCCCAGATCCTCGTCCAGGACACGGGAAAGGGGCTCCTTTTGTGGCCTGTGCTGTGGAAGGGCTCAGTAAGCAAGGTGATCCTCCTGGGAGGTAGGGCAATGCCTGCCAGGAGCAGCTTCCCAGGTGGGGCCCAGCGCCCTGGCTGTGTACACGGCAAAGCTCACTGCCCCTGGTTCTGTCAGGGGCGTTTGAACCAGAGTGACTCCATCTTGAACAGGGGCTGGGTCTGATGAGGCTGAGGCCTGCTGCGCTGCATTCCCAGGAGCTTAGGGATTCTCAGTCACAAGGTGAGACGGGACGACCGCGCAAGAGGCAGGTCGTTAAAACCTTATTAATAAAACAAGTTGTGGTCAGGAAGCCATCCAATACCCAGTACCCACCAAAACCAAGGCGGCATGAAAGTGACCTCTGGTTGTCCTCACTGCTCATTACACGCTAATTCGAATGCATTAGCATCTAAGAGACACTCCTACCAGCACGGTGGCAGTTTACAGAGGCCACGGCAACGTCGGGAAGCTACCCTCTATGGCCTAAAAAGGGGAGGAGCCCACAGTTCTGGGAATTTTGCACCCCTTTCCTGGAAAATTCATGAAAAATCCACCCCTTGTTCAGCGCATAATGAAGAAGTAACAGTAAGTGTCCTTGGTCGGGGAGCCATTCTTCATCCCTTCACTTTCTTAATAAACTTACTTTCACTTTATACTCTATGGACTCACCTCCAATTCTTTCTTGTGTGAGGTCCAAGAACCTTCTCTTGGGGGTCGTCTGGATTGGGGCCCCTTTCTGGTAACAGTTCTTTTTTCTTTTCTTTTTTGAACTAACACCCGGGCTGTTTTCTGTCCCTTCCCTTCCAGGGGGCCCTGACTCATGAAGAACCCTTGCCTGCCTTCTGGACCATTCCAGGGCCAGCTTTCCCCCTCAGCTTCCTGAGATCATCCTAATGTCCCCAGAACATCTCCTTGGCGTGCTCCGGCCCCTCCTAAGAGGCGTGTGCCCAGCTTGCTTCCCTCTGGAGCCTTGGGGCCAGCACCGCCTCCCAAGAACTGCACTGCAGTGTCCATGGCCAAAGGACCTGGTAGGGCTGCCGGATAAGACACGGGCACTCGGCCCAGCACAAATTTCAGATAAATGATGAATTTTATTTTGATGTAGTGTGACCCAAATATTGCTTCTACTAAGAATTTATTTTTGAGACAGTCTCGCTCTGTCATCTAGGCTGGGGTGCAGGGGCGTGATCTTGGATCTTGGCTCACTGCAACCTCTGCCTCCTGGGTTCAAGTGATTCTCCTGCCTCAACCTCCCAAGTAGCTGGGATTACAGGCGTGCGTCACCACACACAGCTAATTTTTGTATTTTTGGTAGACGGAGTTTCACCATGTTGGCCAGGCTGGTCTCGAACTCCCAACTTCAAGTGATCTGCCAGGCTTGGCTTCCCAAAGTGCTGAGATTACAGACATGAGCCACCGCACCCAGCTGCTTCTACTAAGAATTATTTGTGTTAGTTTGAAACAAATTTAACCAGGCGCCCTGCGCTGGGCTAATGGCTGGGAGTCGCACATGTGGGCAAGAGCTCCCCCCAACCCCCCGACCTCCTCAGGATCTTCAGACCCCAGCTTGAATCCCGTCAGCCCCACCTCCTCCAGGAGTGGAGGATTTTCAAATGCACACAGCTCCCTGGAAACCCTGCCCTGCTGGTCCTGGGGGAGAGGGCTGGGTGAGGTGGGGGCAGAGCCATGAGGTGCCTGTTCTTTCCGTCGACAGGACTTAAGGCAAGAGATGCGAGGGGGACCCCACACAGTGCTGTCTGGGGTTGACTGTGGGTGGAGAGAACAATCCCAAATACTGGTAGGCCGCTGTGGCTGCTGCTGACGCTGACGCTTGCTGGCCGGCATGCTTGCTGGGTGTCATCCCAAAGCACTGTCAGAGACGGGAGGCTGGACGTGCGCCCCTCGGTGAGAACTTCCTCTATGTGTGGAGTTTCGGGGTATGAACATCTGCTGCTGAATCTCAGAGGCTGAGGTTGGGGGCAGCTCAGGAACCCCCTGGGGTTCTCAGACCCTGTAAATAGCTTTCCCAGTAATCCCAGGGGAGCCAAGTTATTTCCCTGACCAACCGAGGCAGCAACACCAGAGAGGGTTGTGTGGAGCTGCAGCTGGAGGTGGGGGTGGGCTCTTGTTCTAACCGCTGCATGGCCTTCCTCCCTGAACTTTCCAGCACGTACACCATGGAGAGAGGGAGCTTGATTGTGCCCACAAGCCTGCTCAGCCCAGCTAGTCTCCCTGGCCCACCACAGACCCACCCCAGACAGCCAGAGCCTAGTACAAGCCCAGCCTCCCCTTTAAAAGCCTCCCGGCTGATTCTCATGTTGTGAGAGAACTGGGTGGCTCTCCCAGCTCCAGCTCTGCAATTCTGGGACAGCTACGTGTTTCTAGTGAGTTAAAAAACTTGGCTGGGCGCGGTGGCTCATGCCTGTAATCCCAGCACTTTTGGAGGCCAAGGTGGGCGGATCACCTGAGGTCAGGAGTTCGAGACCAGCCTGGCCAACATGATGAAACCCCGTCTCTACTAAAAATACAAAAATCAGCCGGGTGTGGTGGCACACATCTATAATCCCAGCTACTGGAGAGGCTGAGGCAGGAGAATCACTTGAACCCGGGAGGCAGAGGTTATAGTGAGCTGAGATCATGCCATTTCACTTCAGCCTGGGCAATAAGAGCAAAATTCTGTTTAAAAAAAAAAAATTTGAACACCCATGAAGACGGCTACTATCAAAACAGGAGAAAATGAATGCTGTAAGAATGTGAAAATACGGGGCCCTTGTCTTCTACCGGTGGGAGTGTAAATTGGTACAGTCCATACGGAAACAGAACGGCAGTTCCTGAAAAAGTTAATAGAATGACCCTCTGACCCAGCAATTTCACTTCTGCACGTGCTATAAAGAACTGAAAGCAGGGACTCGAACAGATATTTGCACACCCGTGATTAGAGCAGCACTACCCACAACAGCCAGGTGGCAGAATCAGCCCGAGAGGTGGTGAGCAGATAAAGCCATGAACAAAACAAGTCGGTCCACACAGCGGGATGTTGTTCCACCTTAAAAAAGAAGGGCACGGCCAGGCGCGGTGGCTCATCCCTGTAACCCCAGCACTTTGGGAGGCTGAGATGGGCAGATTACCAGGAGTTCGAGACCAGCCTGGCCAACATGGTGAAACCCCGTCTCTACCAAAAATACAAAAATTACCTGGGTATGGTGGCGGGGGCCTGTAATCCCAGCTACTCGGGAGGCTGAGGCAGGAGAATCGCTTGAACCCGGGAGGCAGAGGCTGCAGTGAGCCGAGATCTCACCACTGCACCCCAGCCTGGGCGACAGGGCAAGACTCCATCTCAAACAAAAGACATTCACCTTCCTGAGCCTCGGTTTGCTCATCTGTAAGATGGGGATGAGTAGATGGAAAATGAAAGGAGAAACATCTGGAAAGACTGTGGGGCCAGCCAGAACCTTCCTAGTAAGGAAATTGAAAGGTGCATTTGCAGCTGAGCCTGTGAGATTTTGACTAAACAGGCAGAGGGAGTTCCCAGGACCCAGGAAGTCAACCACACACAACCACCATGCTCCGTTTTCCAGGGCCTTGGACAAATGCCTCAACACTAGGCCCGTTTCCAGGGCCTTGGACAAATGCCTCAACACTAGCCATTCTCGCTCCAGCCCAGGTGCAGTCAACTGTGGGTGATGTCACCTGCGGCCCTCGTCCCCAGCCCTGCTGCCCCGGGATCCAGGGTGGCCATGGAGATACATGATGCTGGTCCCAGGGTTGAAGTCGCCACAGGGGTACAAAGACAGCTCCAAAACAAGTCTAGGGCGGTGCTTACCCCTAGTGCCATTTCTGTAAGTGTGAACATGTGCAAAGTGATGCCACACGCAGCTTCAGGTGCGTGCATGAGTGGTGACAGTGTGACGATATTCCTGGAAAGACAAACATCCCATTCAGGGTTTACTGAAGGCTCAGCTTAAGTCCCTCGCCCTGGTAAGGGCAGGAACACACCAGGTCTCTTGCAGAGGAGTGCAGTTTCACAGCTGGTGGGTTTTCCAAAAATATCTTCAAGAGTTTGACAAACAGTGCCAGCTTGGACTGCACCATCCCCACATCCAAAACGCACTCCCCGTTTCCCTCAACCTCCCTGCTCATCCTGTAAGTTTCCCACAGAAATGGTGGCCTCGTCGGCCCTGCGGGGTGCAGGGGTAAGCAGCACACCATCTCCAGGCCTGGCTCGGGTCCAGAGGACACGGATGCACATTGCCCCTTGATTCATGCTGAGATTCCCATGTTTAAGCAAACAGCTGCTGATGAGAAGGTTCAGAGGCCATGGAAGAGGAGACTGCGGAGAGGCCACAGGAGGAGGGAGAATCGTGGCCGTCTCTGCTCCTGCAGGCACTGCTGTGCGGCTTTGTCCTCCCAAGGAACCATCCGTGCAATAGAGGGAAACACTCCACTGTCCCTCCAACCCAGCTCCGAGAAATCACGACTCCTCCTGACACCCACCAAGACATGAGACACGACTGACACACAGACATGTGCACACACCCCAACACCAGGACACGCAGGCACACACGTGCTCAGACACCAACACCAGGACACGCAGACACACGTGTGCTCAGACACCAACACCAGGACACGCAGGCACACGTGTGCTCAGACACCAACACCAGGACACGCAGGCACACGTGTGCTCAGACACCAACACCAGGACACGCAGGCACACACGTGGTCAGACACCAACACCAGTACACGCAGGCACACGTGTGCTCAGACACCAACACCAGGACACGCAGGCACACATATGCTCAGACACCACCAGGACACGCAGACACACGTGTGCTCAGACACCAACACCAGGACACGCAGGCACACATGTGCTCAGACACCAACACCAGGACACGCAGGCACACACGTGCTCAGACACCAACACCAGGACACGCAGGCACACGTGTGCTCAGACACCAACACCAGGACACGCAGGCACACGTGTGCTCAGACACCAACACCAGGACACGCAGGCACACACGTGCTCAGACACCAACACCAGGACACGCAGGCACACATATGCTCAAACAGCAGGACACGCAGGCACACATATGCTCAAACAGCAGGACACGCAGGCACACATGTGCTCAGACACCAACACCAGGACACACAGACGTGCACACATACCACCAGGACACACACACATGTACTCACACACCACCAGGACACACATGTGCACACACACCAACAGCAGGACACACACACGTGCTCACACACTCCAACACCAGGACACACATGCAGACACACGTGTGTCTACAGCCAGTGTTTCCCAGCCCAGAGCTGGCTGCACAGAGCCACACCCAGCCACAGTGAGGCCGCTGCAGTCCCGGGTTTTCACCCCCTCAAGCTCACCCTGCCCCTACTCCAAGGATTCATGCCCCCATCACAGGCGGGGCCACCTGTGCCCTCTTCCCAGAGCACTCGAGGCCAGGCACGATCCGGAGCCACTTCCTGCGTAGCCCCCTCCATCTGTGCCCCGAGAAACCAAGGACTCCGAAGGACAAGGATCAGACCACGAATGACAAAGAACCTTGGCCCAGAGAGCCAGGACTCCATCCCTGACTGCCTGCCTCCCCACCTTGTTTCCTTACAGCTCAGCACCTGCCAGGGACGTCAAATACACCGCACCCAGCCCCAGGGGGTCCCCACTGCTAGAAGACCACCTTCAGCTCCAGCTACACCTTCCCTTCCCGTTGTCCACACCTTCCCCCTCCTCCTCAACCTGCCTGGACGTCCAGACCCCCCGAGCAGGCACTGAATGACCCCGTTCCCCTCCGGGTGGTCCCCACTCATGTCCATGGCCTCATCCTGGACTTGGCAAACAGGGCCCGCCCCAGGACTTCGCACGGCTGTCCTTGGGCCACACATCTGGGCGATTCGGGGCCGGGGCTCCTCTTCCTGGACATGGCCTCTGCAGGTCAGGCCCTCCCTGCTCGCCCAGGTGCGTCATCAGAACCCTTGGTCTGGCTGGCGGAGAAGACAGCACAAGCGCCTGGATCTGCCCCTCCCCCGGCACCAGCTCCCCGGGGCCTGGCGCACTGTGAGGAGAATCATGGATGTCGGCGCCAGCGCTGTGGAAGACACCCTAAGGGGGTCCAGTGAGCTGTGGCAGAAGGAGCAGTCTCTCTTGCCGGGCTGGTTCCTGGGCTCCTGGTTCCTGAGTGACCCTGGAGCAGGGATAGCCGCCGGCACCCGCCCCTCCTCTTCTCAGAAGTGGTCACGCTGTGTCCAGAGTTGGTTCCTTCCAGTGGGTTCTTGGTTTATGCTGACTTCAAGAATGAAGTCCCAGATCTTTGCAGTGTTACAGCTCTTAAACGTGGCACGGACCCAAAGAGTGAGCAGCAGCAAGATTTATTGCAAAAGGGGAAAAGCGGAAAAAAACACAAACCTTCCACATCATTGAAATGAACCCCAGGGCACCACCCACTGCCGGCGGGGTGGGGCAGGGCAGGGCGGCTTTTATTCCCTTATTTGACCCCACCCACATCCTGCTGATTGGTCCATTTTACAGAACACTGATTGGTTCATTTTACAGAGTGCTGATTGCTCCATTTTTACAGAGTGCTGATTGGTGCATTTACAAACCTTTAGCTACACACAGAGCTGCTCATTGGTGTGTTTACAATCCTTTAGCTAGACAGAAAAGTTCTACAAGTCCCCACCCTACCCAGAGGCCCAGCGGGCTTCACCTCTCAACCTCATAGGGCCTCCTCCTCTGTGTGCCTCTCTCCTCGTCTGTTTCTGATTTGCCAGTGGGCTTAGAGCCCGCTCACATAAACTGGGGCGACTTCAGCTGGAGATCTTTACCCCACATGCAAAGATTCTTTTCCAAATAAGGTCATATTCTCGGGTTCCAGGAATCAGGACATAGATGTAGCTCTTTGGAGGCCACCGTTTAGTTTACTACAAACCTTGAAACCAAAACAGGATCAAGGTCCAAACTTAGAAGGACTTGGGCTCCAGAGAGAGGCCCAGGAAGCTAAGCCCCACTGCCCGACACAGCCCTGTGTGCACAGTGGGAGCCCCAGGGTGTCTGTTCAACTGCAACACACAGCTTTCTACCAGGTCCTTAACACATGCTGGGTCCTAACATGTGCCCTGAGGTGAGCCGGGGATACTCGACTCCAGGGCACTGGCCAGAAGCCTTGGACCTGCACCCACCACCCAGGCCTCTGAAAGGAGAGCAAGCTGAAGTCTTGACTTTGAAACAGCTGCAGGGGTCGCCCCTCACCCAAGCTTGGGGTGGGGGGGGGGCTCTGGGCGGCAGCAGGTGCACTTTGGGAGCCTCCGATGGTCCCCACAGCTGGGCTCCCTCCTCATCCCCATGGGCGTAGCCCACCAGGTGGCTGCTGAGTCCTCATGGTCCGTAGGCAAGAGGAAGGGGGAAAGTGTGAGCCCTTGGCCTCCACGGCAGCCGGCTGGGATCCTGGCGGGGGACCCTCGCTGGTAACAGCATCTCCCCAGGACGTGCGGCCCCAGTGCCTGCACCCAAGCCCAGCCCTGGTGGGGAGCAGCCCCTGGAAGGCAGGAACCACTCCAGGCAAATGCAGCTGGTGCTCAGCTACATCCTCACGAGGGCCCTGGGCCCCAAACCAAGAGGCGGCTCAGCCTGACAGATGCGGTTCTGGGAGCTGGGGCGGTTGACACTGCCTGGGCCTTGCCGGCTTGGCCTTCTCTGAGGGGTGGTGTCCACACAGCAGCAATGGTGCCACATGCCGGAACCTGGAACCGAGGTTGCCTCGAGAACTGTTTGGGCAGTGGCCCTAGCGGGTGTGGGTGCCGGGAAACAGGAGGCAGAGTGGCCCCCATGTTCCTCTGTAGGCGTCCGCACAGCCTGCCTTCCCCGAGTGCACACGGCGAGCTTGCTTGACCCTGGGGTGGCCACGGCCCACTTTTGTGACCCACGTCCCTCCTCCCGGCAGGCCCCGTGTCTTTGGGGAAGGTGAGTAATTCTGAATCTGGTTCCCGAGCCCCACTTCCCAGTCTAGGGCCACTACGTCCCCACGGTTCTGGGACACTTGCTGAGACAAAGGCAGATTTTGTGAGTCAAAAGGGACTTTCCACATCTCCAAACGGCGTTTCCGGATGCATGGGCCTCAGGGCTCTGATCCCAAGAAGTGCCAAGAAGACCTCTGTGGTCACAGATGCGGACCAGGCCGGGACATGCTGGAAGGTGTCAGGACACGCCCGGCCTGCACCTCTGTCTCCCAGAGCATCCCAGGTCTCAGGGCATCAAACGCTCCGAGGTCGGTGACCAGGCACCACCGCCTTGGCCTCAACCAGCACCCCAGAGGCGCCGTCCTGCCCTCAGAAGGCCCCCCAGAAACGCTGTTTCCCATCGCTGGCTGGCTGTCTCGTACCAGCCGCTGCAGCCCCGGCCCACCTGCATGCAGGGAGCAGGGCCCCATGGGAACCCAGGCAGATCCCCCTCCTGAGAAAGGTGGCCCTGCCCCAGCCAGCACATCCCAGGCGATGAGGCATGTGATCCCCATGGCCCCTCGGGTGAATCCTGACCGCCAATCTGCACACACAGCCACACCTGCGTCTCCATCTCCCTCGGTTCTGTTCCCCCCCACCGGGTCTGGAAGACACTGGTAAGCAGGGGAGGAGGAAACAGGTGCAGCTCCAGCGAGGCGGTGCTCCCTGCTGGTGAGTGGGTGCCCCCTGCTGGTGAGGGGGGGTGCTCCCTGCTGGCTTCCCCTCCCCACAGCTGTCCCTGGAGGGAGGCGTCATTCTGTAAACAGGGAGATGGGGTTCAGGACGGTGCCAGCATGCCCAGCAATCCCGGAGTTCCCCGTGCTCAGGAACTCGCACCGCTGGCTCCACGCTCTCTACTCCAGTGGGACAAGAAAGCTCTGCTCACCAGGCAACGAGAGGCGCAAGGGCGGAGCCCAGGGCCCCGGGGAGGGCTCAGGTGGCTGGCGGAGGGGGTGCAGGGAAGGGAGATTCACCCAGGAGGGCCATTGACAAGCACTGGCTGGGGAGGGATGTGGTCACTGCACCGGCATGACAGCTCGGAGTAGCTTCTAGGTGACCACGCCATGGGAGAATGTTCTGAGGGGAACCCCTTGGGAGGCTCAGCATGAGGCAGAGCCGTTGGGGGCTGCAGCCAAGGTGGGCAAGCTGGGCCTGGGCCAGTTCAGAGCAGCCAGGCTGAGGGGGAGGGTGGACACGGGACGTTTATACCAATACGCTCGGGCCGCTGTGGAAATGAGTGCAGCCAGGCTGTGCACACCACAGACACGTCTCGAAGCCTCGGGCCTGAAGTCCCAGGTCAGTGTGTGGCTGGGCTGCTCCCCTGAGCTGTAGGCGGGCACCGGTTCCGGCCTCTTCTTGGCTTGCAGGCCCCAGCTTCTCCCTGTGTCTCTGTATCGTCCCTGCTCTGTGAGTGTCTATTTCTGTGTCCAAATTCCCCCTTTTAATAAGGACACCCGTTATATTGAATTAGGATGCACCCCTGTGAGCTGTCACTTGATGACCTCTGCAAACAGCTCCCTCCCAATACCATCACATTCTCAAGTGCTAGGCAGTAGGACCCCCAGTCCTCTCCCAGTCCTAATGGAGAGATGTCACTGAGCCTGTAACTTGGCTGTCCCAGCCGTCCCTGCTGCCACGGGCACCACAGCCGCCATGGGCACCAGAGCCGCCACGGGCACCACAGCTGTCCCTGCCTCCCTCTCTGTGCTCTCCCCTGGCTTGTTTTCTGTATCTCCTGGGATGGAGGCTCCCTGGGGACTGTCTTCCCCACTGTGTCCTCAGCACCCAGACCTCACTGGGACAGCAGCCACTAAGCTTGTGTGGTCACTGAAGTTTATATTTAAGTTAAAATTTTTTTTAAAAAATGAAGAATCCAGGTCCTCAGCCACAGCAGCTACAGCTCAAGTGCCGATAGCCACATGTGGCCGGTGGCTGCTGCATAGGACAGCGTGGACAAGGAATAACTCCGTTGGTGCAGAGAGGCCACTGGACACTCAGGCAGAGACAAGAGGGTTCGCCGGGACAGATCAACAGATGAACAAATTCAGAACAAAATGCTTAGTGAGGGAGAAGTGAACTTTCATTTTGCCCAAGTCACCATTATCATGGGTGCTGCTGGCAGGATCAGACCTGGTCATGTGGAGTCTGAAGTGCTCCCAGCCACCAACTGTGGCTGTTGCTTAGAGATACCCCTCTTCCCTGCAGCCCTGCAGGACTTCCCGGGGCTTCCTGGCCTCCACCTTTGCTTCTGGTGCTAGAGGCGGGGCAGGTGGCGTCAGGGTGGCCACTCCCCTCCCCAGAGCTGCACTGGGCCGCAGTCAGTTCACCCGGCCACCCCTGGCAGCATCTCTGGGCCCCAGACAGGGCCCCTCCATACAGAGCCCAGACGCTCCACAGGGCAGGGGCAGCCCAGCCCTATAAGCCCTGGTGCCCCCATAATCAGGAGGAAGAAAACCTCCCCCGTCTCCTGTCCCCTCTCTCCCCTCTCCCCTCCCCCCTCGCCCCTCCCGTCTCCCCTCTCCCCTCTCTCCTCTCCCCTCTCCCCTCTTCCCTCTCCCCTCTCCCCTCCACCCTCTCCTGTCTCCCCTCTCCCTTCTCCCCTTTCCCCTCTCCCCTCCTCACTCTCTCATCTTCGCTGTCCCCTCCCCTCTCTGCCCTCCACTCCCCCCTCCCCTCCCCCTCCCCTTTCCCCTCCCCACTCCCCTCTCTCCCCTCTCCCCTCTCTTCCCTGTTCTCTGCTTCTCTGTGTGTGTCTCTCTCTCTGTCTCTCTTTCTGTCTCTGTCCATCTGTCTCTGTCTGTTTTTCTGTCTCTGTGTCTCTGTCTCTCGCTGTCTCTGTCTGGCTGTCTCTGTCTCCCTGTCTCTCTGTCTCTGTCTCTGTGTCTCTCTCTGTCCCCCTCCCCTCTTCCTGAGCCACTGCCCAGAACTCCAGGCAGGAGGTGCTCACGGCCCTCCCCACATCTTCCCCCTAGAATACCCGTGACCATCAGCTGCCCCCCCCATACACACCCCTCCCCTCCAATCCCAAACTCACTCAGAGCCCCTGTTCTTTGGGCAACGTGCTCAGAACTCAGGGGAGGTAAGGGGGAGTAGGTCAGCAGAAGAGGAAATGGACTTTCCTGGCCCATTCTCCATCCTGGGAGGGCACTGGGCCCTGGGCCCCAGGCCCCGGGCCCCGGTATTCATGGTAACGGGGGCTGAGAGGCGGCCAAAGAAGGCTTGTTCCCGTGCCGGGCACCACAGAGCTTACGGCTCCATCTGTGACACGGGCCTTCCTTCCCTGAGGGCCCCAACACAGCCTCCTGGGCAACATGCCCCTCCATCCGCAGGGTCAGAAGCCGCAGCTCAAGGATCACCTGCGGAAGGTGGCATTTCCCAAGACCGGAGCTTCCCGACATCCCGCCACCTCCCGCAGCGCTGGTGCCAGTCCTGTCGGATAAGGGGCAAGTGTAAGACCGGCCTCATCAGCTCCAGCAATTGTAACAAAGCGCCATGGGCGGGGGCTTCAACACTAGAAATTGTTCCCTCGCAGCCTGGGGGCTGGAAGTCCCAGACCAAGGGGCTGCTGGGCGGTTTCTCCCAAGGCCTATTCATGGCCCGCAGACGGTGGCTTCTCCTGTGTCCTCCCACGGCCGCTCCTCTGCACACACGCATCCCTGGTGTCGCTTTCTCTTCTTACAAGGACACGTCCTATTGGGTCAGGGCCTTCCTCACAACCTCATTTAACCTTAAGTCCCTCCCTCAAGGTCCTAGCTCCAGATACAGTCCCGTTGGGGCTGGGCCTCAGCTGCGAATCTGGGGGCACGACTCAGTCGGCAGCTGTCTGTGTCCTGCATGCGCCTCCACTGACCTTCCCAGGGTTCTCCCTGTGTCCTGGTGCTGCTTCTTCACCCAGAGCGCTGCCACCCACTGCTGAGCTTCAGACATGTGACCTGCCCAGTCCCCTCTGCAAGCCCTGCACCTTCCTCAGTACCAACCAGCAAACCCGTGGCTGCACCGGGGCCAGCAGACACTCTCGGGCAGAGTGCTGGGCACCCTGGCCTCCTGGGCACCCTGGCGCTTGGCACCCTGGCCTCCTGGGCACCCTGGCGCTGGGAAACCTGGCCTCCTGGGCACCCTGGCGCTGGGAAACCTGGCCTCCTGGGCACCCTGGCGCTGGGAAACCTGGCCTCTTGGGCACCCTGCCCTCCTACCCCTGGCTGGCTCGGGCGGCTGTCACCAGTGTGTTCTAAGACTGCAGCCCAGAACCAAGAAATAGGGAGGGGGCGAACAGCCCTGCAGGGAGGGGCACACCCGCCAACCTCAGAGAGGGGACCTGGACGCACCCACCACCCTCAGGGAGAGGACGTGGACGCACCCACCAACCTCAGGGAGGGGACCTGGACGCACCCGCCAACCTCAGGGAGGGGAAGTTGGCCGGCGCAGCGCCGGGTGGCGGGAGAGGATGGTGTCTGGGGCTTACGCCATGCCCAAGCTCCCACAAGGCAGGGGCCCACGTCCCGGGCTCCACGCCAGGGCCTTGCTCTGCCAGGGCAGCTCAGGGCAGCTCCGACAAGGAGTGGCCCCTTTGAACGAGATCCTGGAGAGTCAGGGTTTTCACTCCAGCTTTAAACCAGTTGCTCCCAGGCCGCCGCCACTGCCCCCACCCACCTGTTCTTGGTCCCAGCATCATCATGACAATTTGGGGGCAGGAATTCAACTGTGGAACGGGAGGAGCCCTCAGCTCCGGGTCACGCTGGGTGGAGGGCACGGTGAGGTCACGCTGGGTCATGGTGAGCTGGTGAGGCAGGCAGCCTGGTGGGCACCCGCCTTGAAAATGACCCCTCAAACCAGCGGACCGCACCACACTTTACAATTGAGTACAGCTATTTATCCATTAACACCTGTACCACTTCCAGACCAACAGATCACCAGGCTGCAGTGGGGACATGTGAGAAAATTACAGGCAAGGAAGCAAAGACTAGAACCAGGTGTGTCTCTGAGTTCCAGCCCTGCTGAAATGCCCGTCTGAATAAACAGGGGCCACTGCCATCCCGGCTGCGCATGCACAGGCCTCCGAGCGGCAGAAAGCAGGGATGACACCAATGTGGCTTTAAACCAGTGTTCAATTCCCATGGCTGATTCGGAACGTCCTGAGGCAAAACGTGAAGTTTACTGCATCCGAGGAAGGAAGTGCAGCACCCACAGCAGCAGCCAGCACCACTGGACCAACCGGGCCGGGGCTGGGGAAGGAGCATGTGCTGTCGGCACGGCCAGGCCGGGCCTGGAGGGCTGGAGAGAGCCTGCGTGGGACAGCAGCTGGAGGCCGCAGGGGGCCCAGGGATCACCCCTTCTTCAAAGGGAACCTGGCCGAGAACTCGGCCCTCACACTTGGGTGTGGGGTCTCTGGAGACAGGACAGTGAGTGGCCACAAGGGCCAGGCAGGGGCCGCTGCCAGTGGGCCTGGAAGACCAGCGAGGGCTCATGTCCATCACACGGTCTGTGCAGTAAATGATGGCCGGTTCCGCAGACCCCCTCCCTGTGGGGACACAGCTGCTGGGGTGGTCACCCCTCCCCCTAATTCCCAGCTGAGGTGCCCCTGCAGAAGCCCCGAGTGCCCAGCGGGGTAATTGCGGCCAGGTGCTTGCTCTTGGAGCACTGAGGAGCCATCGGAGGCTGCAGGCTGCCTAGCGGCCAGGCTTGCTGCCCCTTCCTGGAATCTGCCCACAGGAAGTCAGAGGCTGCCAGCCCCTTCACTGACCTTTCCAGGACCAGCCAGGAAGGGCTCACAAAGGATGTTATTTGAAACAGGAAGGTCCCTGGACAAAAATATCTCTTCCAAGAGGCCTGAAAGAGCACCTTGCAGAGAGTAATTTAGATTAAACAGGACCCCCTCCCTGGAGAGCCTGCCTAGGTGTGAATTGATTTAATCAAACTGGCCTCCTCTCAGAAAACTAGAGGCCAGGATCAAGCGCCTCTGTCCTCTGCAGAAGGAAGGGGCTGGGGGTGCGGGAGGGTTTAGTTTATCTCTAGGCCCCTACTGTCTGCTTGCATTTTCTTTTTGGTATTTTTTGTATTGTGATAAAATACACATAACATTTTACCATTTTTACCATTTTTGGGTGAGCAGTTCAGTGGCATTAAATGCAGTCACAATGCTGTAAAACCATCACCGCCATCCTTCTCCAGAACTTCCTTTGCAAAACTGCAGCTCTGCACCCATTAAACTGACTCCCATTCCCCTCCCCCAGCCCCTGGCAGTCCCCGTTCTGCCTCCGTCTCCCAGAATTTGACAACTCCAGGCTCTGCCTGCAACTGTTATTCTGCAGGATTGACCTTTCTGTGTCTGGCTGCCCCATCCCTCCTCATTCCCAAAGGCTCTCCCTGGAACCTGCTCCCAGCAGGAGGGGCCATTCCCTGGTCACCCACCTTCTTGAGGCTCCTCTGGGAGAGTCTCCAGGTCTGTGATGAGACCTCAGGGACCTGCCAGCAGGTGGGCTTTTGGAGTGGAGTTGTGGGAGCCCAGATGCTGGTGACCCCTGGAGGTGACCACCTGGGCCAGTGACCACGGACCTCCAGGCCTGGGTCCCTCTGACCTGGCCGTGGAATGAAGCCTGGGGTGCCTGCATGTGGGTGGGAGCAGTGGTGGCCTGCTGAGAGGTGTTCAAAGCCATCTCTGCAGTGTAAACAAAAAATAAAATTCTAAGGCTCCTCCCCGACCGTCTGGATGGACCCCTCCTCTGGGCCAGGACACCCCAACGTTAACCAGAAAGACTGCTTCAGGCCACGACGGGAAGCGGTGGTCGGCCATGCCTCATGCCGCCCTCCTCCCTTTCGGAATTTAGGAAAAGCCGACCAGCAGTAACATCAACACAGACCTTAAGTCTGGTAAGAAACACCATACAATCTCTTCTCTCTGGAGCCTGCTACCTGGAGGCTTCACCTGCATGATGAAACCTTGGCCTCCACAGCCCCTTACCCTAACCCAGACAATCCTTTCTATTGATAGTAACTCCCAAACAATTGCCAATCAGAACATTTTTAAATCTACCTATGACCTGGAAGCCCCACTTGGAGCTGTCCCGCCTTTCTGGACCTGACCAATGTATATCTTAAATGTCTCATGCCCGCCTGAACTAAGGCCCAGCTGCACCCGCCCACCTCCCGAGGGCCGTGTCACTGCACAGTCACTCTGTGTGGCTCAGAATCAATCTCTTCAAATATTTCACAGACTTTCGCTCTTTTCATCGACAGGCTTATTTCGTTCACACAATGTCCTCAGCCTCCATCCATGTGGCAGTGTGTGTCTGAATTTCCTTTCTTTTGTAAACTAAAAACAAAATCCAAAGTCCCACAGACAAATGAACGGAACACCCCTCTTGGACAAGGGGACCCAGGGCAACAGGAAACACTAAATTCCCACGGTGACAGAAGGGAGGAGGGACTCTCCTCATCACGGCCCACCCCGCCACCCCCCCCGCCCCCGCCTTTAGGAGTTCAGGTGCAGCTGACCCACACTAACTCCAAAATAGTTATCCAAAGACGGCAGAACAGACTCTGTGGCGGTAAGACCCCAAATCCAGCCTGACCCTGGTATAGAGACCCACCGAGAGTCCCTCCGACCCGGAGAGACCCGCCGAGGGTCCCACACCCGGAGAGACCCGCCAGGAGTCCCCACACATTTGAAGGCCCTGCCTGCCCTCTGTCCTCTCGGGGCCGCCTCCTGGAGGCTTCTACGTCACCAGCACCTTGGTCTCCACAGCCCCTCAGCTGAAGCCAAGTGATTCTTTCCACCCACTGCAAGCCTTCACGTCTTCAGCTTAACTCTTTCACCCAAATACTAATCAGAAAACATTTAAATCTCTCTGCTCCCCTTCAAGATGTCCCTCATTTCCCACCGAATCAATGTATACTTTCCATGTACTGATTTATGCCTTTGCCTGTAACTTCTTTATTTAATTAAATTAATTAATTACTTTTTTGAGACAGGGTCTCACTCTGTCACCCAGGCTGAGAGTAGTATCTCAATCACAGCTCATTGTGGCCTTGACCTCCCGGACTGGAGCCTCAGCTTCCCAAGCAGGTGGGACCGTGGGTGTGCACCACCACGCCTGGCTAATTTTTAGAAAATTTTTTGTAGAGACGGGATCTTGCTATGTTGCCCAGGGTGGTCTTGAACTCCTGTAGGGAAACAATTCCCCCACCTCAGCCTCCCAAAGAGCTGGGATTATGCCTCGCCTGGCTTTGCCTGTAACTTCTGTCTCCCTGAAATGTATACAACCAAACTGTAACTGCCTCAGGCACAGGCTCTCAGGCCCTCCTGAAGCTGTTTTCTGGGCCATGGTCACTCACATTGGCTCAGAATAAACCTCTTTAAATATTTTACAGAGTTTGCTTTTTTTTGTTGATACTTTTTTCTTTCTTTCTTTTTTTTTTTTTTTTTTTGAGATGGCGTCTCGCTCTGTCACCCAGGCTGGAGTGCAGTGGTGCGATCTCCACTCACTGCAAGCTCCGCCTCCCAGGTTCACACCATTCTCCTGCCTCAGCCTCCCTACTAGCTGGGACTACAGGCGCCCACCACCACGCCCGGCTAATTTTTTGTATTTTAGTAGAGACGGGGTTTCACCATGTTAGCCAGGATGGTCTCTATCTCCTGACCTTGTGATCCACCTGCTTTGGCCTCCCAGAGTGCTGGTATTACAGGCGTGAGCCACCGCACCTGGCCTTTGTTGATACTTTTTAAGGCTAAATAATATTCCACTACATGTACTATCAAAATGTTATACAAAATTATAACAAATTTAGCTGTAGATTGAATTGGCCTTTATTCTCGATTCACGAATGGGGCAGCCTCAGTCGAGGAATGAGAGCTCCCCCTGGGCAATGGCCAACAGTGGGTTTTGTAAAGTGGGTACAGGGACACGGAACAGAAGAAAGGCTGACGGTTGACATCGGGTTCCCTCAGGTTCCTTGTTGTAAGGGTTAAAGCAGAGGGACTTCCTTTGTACACTGACCAGGTAGACTGCAGTCTCCTGTTTTCAGAAAAAACTGGTCAGCTTTGGGATCTATCTGCTTCCTTAAAGTTTCAGTTTGATGATGCCATTTAGCCTTCAGGCCAAACCAAAATGGAGTGATGTATTGGGGCCTGGTGTAGGAGCTCCATTCAAAACAACAGCTGCCCATAATTTTTGTTTAAAAGTACATGTCACATTTTATGAATCCGTTCATCCACCCACGGACAACTGGGTTGCTTCCACCTGTGTCTACCGTGAATGATGCTCCCAGGAACATGGATGTGCAAATGTCTCTCTGAGCCCCTACACCCAGAAGGGGGACTGTGGATCCTACGATGCCGCACCCAGAAGGGGGACTGTGGATCCTATGATGCTACCGTGTGAGCTTCTGACATCTGTTTTCCAGCCATGCCACTTTACATTCCCACAAGCAGCGCACAAGGGTCCCCACTTGTAACATCCTCACCAACACGGTATTGTCCATTCTAAAAATAAGAGCCTGGCCAGGCGCGGCGGCTCACACCTGTAATCCCAGCACTTTGGGAGGCCAAGGTGGGCAGATCACTTGAGGTCAGGAGTTCGAGACCAGCCTGGCCAACATGGCGAAACCGCATCTCTACTAAAAATATAAAAATTAGCCAGGCGTGGTGGCAGGTGCCTGTAATCCCAGCTACTCTGGAGGCTGAGGCAAGATAATCACTTGAACCCGGGAGGTGGAGGTTGTAGTGAGCCGAGATGGTGCCACTGCACTGCGGCCTGGGCAACAGAGAAAAACTCCCTCTCAAAAACAAATAAATTAAAAAAAATAAAAATAAGAGCCATTCAAATAGTTGTGAAGTGGTGTCTTCACAATTATTAGTGTTGATTTGCATTTCTCTAGTGATTAGGGATGTGAAGCATCTCTCCATGTGCTTATTATCATTTGTGTATCTTTTTGAAGAAATGGCTATTCAAGCCGGGTGCGGTGGTTCACATCTGTTATCCCAGCACTTTGGGAGGCCAAGGTGGGCGGATCACCTGATGTCAGGAGTTTGAGACCAGCCTGGCCAACATGGTGAAACTCCGTCTCTACTCACAATACAAAAAATTAGCTGGGCATGGTGGTGCACGCCTGCAATTCCAGTTACTCGGGAGGCTGAGGCAGGAGAATCGCTTGAATCTGGGAGGTGGAGGTTGCGGTGAGCTGAGATCGTGCCATTGCACTCCAGCCTGGGCAACGAGAGCGAAACTCCACCTCAAAGAAAAAAACAACAACAATAAAAACAGAGAAATAGCTATTTAAGCCCTTTTCCCATTTTTAAAAGGGTGTATTTGTTTGCTGTTGCTGTTGAGTTGTAGGAGTTCTTGGCATCCTCTGGGTATGAACCCCTCATCAGCTCTATGATTTGCAAATGCTCTCTCCCATCCCGGGAGCTGTTCTTCTACTCTGTGTGTGTCCTCTGATGTGTGTTTGCATTTTTTTTAGTCTGTGCTTGTAGTTTCCTCTGCCCCTCCCCCGACCCCGATAGAGCCATGCAGGAGCCGACATCCATGCACACACACCTGCCCCCTAACCCCATCCCTCATTTTCAGGGCACAGGCCTCGACCAGAGGAACAGAGGAGGCACCTGGGTGGAGCCCTGCACCAAGGCCCAAAGGCCCAGCCCACAGTGAGGACCCCAACTCATGCCACAAGCAGCTGAGCTGCAGGATCTCTTCCGAATATTCAAGTCTTTATTTAAAGAAAATTCTGGTGTATACATGGAGCTGGTGTCTCAAAACCCAGGTCCCCTCCAGTGGAAAAAGAAGCCAAATTAAACACTAAATAGCAAAGAACAGAAAGGATGGACATGCGTTCAAGCATTTTCTTTTAAAGCCAAAATTAAAATCACTGAGTCGAGACTTCTTTAAGAGCAAAGTGACAAAACGCAAGCTTGTCCTGCTCCACAGATAACTAGAGGCAGCTCATGGATGAACACGACGGCCGAGCTCCATGAAATATTTAAGCAAAAAGAAAACAGAGCCTGCCCCGTGGGGCTGGCAGGTTTTCAGACACCAGAACCAGTGGCCTCCGCCTGGGATCTGCACACCACGTTTCTGAGTGGCCCAGGAGGGCACGCAGAAGCAGCCTGGTGGTCTGATTTTCCCAACAAGGAGAGCATGCAGCCAGCTGAGGACATGGGATTTTCCTGAGGCTTTCCCCCATCAGAAGGCAAAGGCTGAGGGGGCAGCCCACTCTCCTGTGGTCCACGGATGGGGAGGGCGGCCTTGGGAGCTGGACGGAGATGGCGGGGCCAGAGCCTCACTGCTGTGCCAGCAGGGTCTGGGCCCATGGGTGGTACCCAAGGATCCTCCTGTTCCAGATCCCCGGGATCCCAGCTCACAAAGCTCAGGCTTGCAAAGGCGCCTTCTACCATGAGCGTTGCTTCCCAGCCAGAGCAGTTTCCAAGGCTCAGGCAACGAACTCTTCACCTTCTCCTTAAGCGGCAAAAACCCAACACGCTCCACAGAGATGCAGACATCCACTCACACACAGAGACACACAAAGAAACCTCAGCCTGGCCTCGGCACACATCTCATTGAAGATGTCAGTGGGCGCCGTTGCTAAGCTGGCGTCTGCAGGGGCCCGGCCTCTGCCAGCCCCAGCACTAGGGGAGGGTTCCTTTGGCCTCCCAGAGTGTTCTGGGCTGCACACAACCCTCCAGGTATAATTATGAGCGTCTGTAGGGCTCTGATGGCCCCACCAGCCATAACAACAGCTGCAGGGAACAAAAGGCCCAACCCTCTAATCAGGGACTCAGAACTGGTCTCTGTCCCAGTGCCAGGGGTGAAAACCACCAGAACCAACCGGTGCCAGAAGGGTCCGACAGGCTGAGGGACCCTGAGTTCCAGCCTGCCCATCCTCTAGAGCAGGCTCAGTGCAGCCCGGGAGGCGGGGGGCAGGGGGTGGGTGGTGAGGGGCGCACAGCTTGTGCTCCCCCTCAGCTGTGGCCTTGAGCCACTTGGACCTCCCTGAACGTCCTGTCCTCTGGGCAGCCTCCTGCACACGGCTCTCCTTGCAGGCTGGGAACCTACCTTTCCTCATCCCTTCCGGGTCTGGGGGCACGCCAGGTGACGAATCCTGCCATGTCCTGATAGCTGGATCTGGGACCCCGCTGAAACCGTCCCACAGAGGAAGCTACATGGGGGCTGTCATCGGCATCCCTTCACTGGGAAAGAGGGTGCAGTCACATTCACCTTCTGGAGCCTCTGGAACCATCTGTGAAATGGTCCTATCAATGCCGAGCTGGACCTTCCCACAGGGCCAGGGGGCTCTGCCATTGCCTGGTGCTCCCTGTCTCCCCTCCCCTCCCCTCTCCTTTGCTTTGTGAAATGGCCAGCCCCATCACCTCCCAGCTGGACCCTCCCACAGGACTAGGAGGCTGTGCGATCGTCTGGTGTTCCCCAGCTCATCTCCCCTCTGCCCTGCACACCCGGCCACCCACCCTTGTGCCCACGGAAGATGCCACAGTGTGCAGGGGGCAGTCATGCCTGCAAGGCTGACTCTGCGGCCGGCCACCAACTGAGTGTAGAAGCCACAGGCTGCTCCCTGCTGAGCAGGAAGTGGCACCACCCTCCTTGATGCAAAAACATAGCCGGAAAGCCCCTGTCAGACCTGCCTGTGCCCGTGGGCTCACCCAGCAGGACCGAGGGGGATGCTGGCACAGGGCGAGAGTCCCAATGGCATGTTTACATCCTGTGGCAGAGAGAAGGGACCCATCCCCTAGAGAAGGGAGACCTCCCTGGTAAGGGAGATCCCCCAAGCTAGAGAAGGGAGTCCCCCAAGCTAGAGAAGGGAGACCCCCAAGCTAGAGAACGGAGACCCCCAAGCTAGAGAAGGGCGACTCCCTTACAGAACGGAGACGCCCCCCGGACCATGCACTGCCTCAGCACCGACACACCCCAGCCATTCTCAGCAAAGTCAACTGAGTACAAAGTCGGTGTGGATTCCTGCATTGAAAACTGAGGGATGACCGACACGGGGGAGGCCTGCGGGGATTACTGACTTATCCCTGGGGCCTGTGAGCAGAGAGGAGCTGTCTCTGGAGGATTAGAAAGTTCATCTGATCACCAGGCCACACATCTGCAAGGGAAGGTCAGCCCAGGACAAATGGCCCGCCTGGCATGCAATTCCTGTGGCGCCCAACGCATGCCAATAAAATGTTTGTTTGCTTTTTTAAACTTGGTTTACATTGTCTTAATGGCACTGTTAAATAATAGGTCTTCTGTTCATATGTAGCGGGCACGACACAAAATCATTCAGCTGATGGTTGGCTGGAGCCATCCTCCTCCAACCCCCACAGGACTGGAGCCCAGCTGTCCACGGCAGCCAGGCAGCCGCATGGCCGTGGGCACAGGGTCTCTACCCCCGGGTGCTGACGTGGGAGGAGGGACGGGCTTGCCCAGTCCCTGGGCGGTCCAGCCCAGCCTCCAAGCACCCACCCCAAAGAGGAGATGAGGTGGGTGGGGGAATGCTAGGCCTGAACGGGGTCTCCCACCTGCTCCATCCAGGATTAAGGCAACACCTCCCTCCATGCCCACATGAATGTGCAAACATTCACAGCCTGAAGCAGGAAGGACAGATGAGTTCAGACCTTCACCTGCCCCCACACGCTTTCCTCAGGGGCCTCTGGGGGGGTCCATGGGCCAGTGTGCTGGGCACCCGGAGGAGAGGCCAAGGCTCCCTAGAAAGGAGAATGAGGCGTGGAGGAGACCAGTAGGGTCGGCCCGACTCAGGACCCTGTCCATGCCTGGGGTGCTGGCCCTGGCACTACAGAGCCAAGGAACAGCCCATGGGGAAGCCCCTGTTGCCACAAGCCGTGTTGTCAAACCATTTCCCCCGGAACAAACAAGGCCTGAGGACGCCCGAGAACCCTGCAGCCCTGACTTGGCGCTCTAGTTCACACTAACCGGCGACCTGCAGAATCACCAGCTCCTTTGTTGGCCTCCACAGAGAAAATCAAGAGGAACGTGCACCCTGGTGAGCAGGCTGACTTCAGAACTAGAGAGAAAACTTTGTGTGCATCTGGGGAGTGCCACACAGCAGCTGTTTGAAGACAGGGTCTTCCTTTAGGGAGGAGACCACAGCATCCTGTATCAGACATTGCAGGGCATGACCCTGGAGTCCAAGAAATGACTCCAGGCTCAGGAGAAGGACAGGGCTGGACCCGAGAGCCACAGCTGCCACCTAGAAGGGCAGGTGTCTCGTCCATCTCATCTCCACACGCATGTGTTCCCAACCCTAACCCTAACCGAGAATAACAAGTGTCCCATCCTTTTCATCTCCACACGCATGTGTTCCTGACGCTAACCCTAACCCACAGGAACAAGTGTCCCGTCCACCTCATCTCCACAGGCTTGTGTCCCTAACCCTAACCCTAACCCCTAACCCCTAATCCCAACCCTAACCCTAACCTTGTCTCCAAAGCGTGTGTGTCCACAACCTATCTAGGGCACTGAGCCGAATCCAACTGAGACACAGACCACAGCTCCCACCACACCCCTGTACCAATCCATGCAGTCCTGGACAACTGGTGTCCGCAACACACACACACACACACACACACACACACACACACAGAGACACATACAATGCACCACACACATCTAGACACAGACACACACTACACATAATATAGACACACACACCTCATATGCCATACACACACATATACACACATCACACTATAGACATATACACATACCACACAGCACACACATAGACACACACACGGACACACACAGGCGTGGACACTCACATGGCTCCCGGCAGTGCTGCAGGAGGTCAGCACAGAGACGTGCTGAGGAGCCTGAGATGCTCGCTCCTCTGGGCCATCGCGTGTAAAGGCTGCCCTCGCTGTGGACTCTCACATGTGTGACATACATGAACAGGCGAAACGGACACGCACGGCCCCCACACACGTGAGCTGGGTCCCCCAGGGCCCGTCGGAGCCCTTCTGCCTGGGACCTGCCTCATCCCCGGCCCCTCACAGGGCAAGACATCGCAGTAACCGCAGGTCTTCAGAGCAGCCTACCCTGGCCATGCCAGGCGGGAACAGCAGATGGACCCTCGGGGCACCCAGGTCCCACGAGAGAGTGACAGCTCAGGGACATCTGTCCTCGGGGCCCACGAGCTTTAAGCCCAAGCCAGGGTCCAGGCCTGGTGGCCTCTGTGTGGCCAAGGCTGGCGGGGGGCACTCCATGGTCCCAGGCAGGGCCCTCCTCAGCCCACTGGAAGCGGGCTTGGCTCTGGGTCCTCTGCCTCCCCCCGCCCCCGCCCCGCCCTCCCAGGCCCCTCGCCCACCTCAGGCTTCGGGACCCCCGTGTGAGCAGCGAGTGGTCAGGAGGACACGGTTCTGCTCCCCGCAGGGACGAACCCCCACTGCTTCCCAGATCTGCCGGGCCAGACCCCTGCCACCCTCCCGCGCTATAAATCATCAGATCACAGCCCCGCCCAAGGCCTCAGGGACCCGCCGTGGTCCCGAGAGAGGCAGCCCTGGACGAGAACAGGGCCCCTTTTCTGCCTGGTCCCCGCCCTCCCCGCGAAGTGACCCCGTCTGGACTCTGCAGCCGCGGGAACAGCGAGGTCAGAGGGCGCCCCGGGAGCTGTCGGCCCATCCCCGCGGCCCCTGCCCCGGCTCGGTGTCACCTGCAGGCCCCGGACAGGGCGGGATCCCCGCAGGGAACTGCCCCAGGTCCCCGGAGCGCGCGGCGGGCGGCAGGGGCGGGGCTCCGCTGGGCTGGGGGGACCCCAGGCAGGGACCGACCCCCGGGCTGACCGGGAGCCCCACCCCCGCCGGCCCGCCAGGCCGCCGCCGCCCACCTGCGCCCCTCGAGGGGACCGGCACCTGCGCGCACCTACCGTAGCGGCCGGGCTCGCGGCAGTAGAGCAGAATGGGAAGCGGGTCCTCGTCAGGCGGCTCGGGCGCGGCTGCGGGGTCCAGGCCGGGGTCGGGGGCCCGGCGGGGGCTCGGGGTGGGGCGCTGGCTGTCGCCTTCCTTGGCCCCGGGCCCCGCACCCCCCGCCGCGGGGGTCACCACGAAGCGCTGGGACATGGTGTCCGCGACGGCTGCGGGGAGCGGGGACCTGAGCGCGGGGAGGGCGGGGCCGGCGGGGCGGGCGCGGGAGGCCGGGAGGAAGGGAGGGAGGCCGGGGGGGAGAGAGGGACCGAGCGCACCGCCGGGGATGGGGCCGCGCGGCGCGGGGAGGGGCCGGGAGGGCGAGGCGGACTCCGGCTGACACCTCGGCAGCGGTCCCTGCCCGCGGGGGGACCACGGCCTCGGCCCCCGAAGAACGAAGAGCGGCCTCGGCTCTCGCTGCGTGACCTTGGAGACGCCCCAGCCGGGCGACCGGGTCAGCGCGCGGTGCAGAAGCCTGAGGGGAGGAACAGACCTCGCTCTGCGCCGCCTGGAACCGACGACGACCAACCCTGGCAGCAACGCTGCAGCCCGCGGTCTCTGGCGACGCCCACCGAGGGCCGGGACCAGGGGGCCGGTGAGGGTGGAGGTCTCGCTGGCCTTTGGGTCCGTGGGGAGGGGCGCCCTGATCTGGGGCCTCCACCTCCCCCATCCCCAGACTCCAGCCCTTGGCCAAGCAGGGTTCAGCCGTGCCTGCGTGCGAGGCAGAGGCCTCCTCCTGGGACTTCCACCTGGGGAGAAAGGCCTCCGGGGCAGCCAGGGTGGAAGGCGGAGGCCAGCCTGGCTGCGGAGGCGCTGGGAGCCGCGGACCCTAGAAGTCTTGGGAGACCCCGCCTGCTCTTCAGGGGTTCCTGCAACCACCGCAGCTGCACAAATTCTGCAACTGGCTCTTTCCTCCCCTCTAATGATGCTGTTGCCACCACCTTGCGTGGAAGTATTGAGCACTTTACAATATGTATTCACAGATTCAATAAATATTTATGAATGCTAACCTGTGCCGGGCCCTGCAGGTGACAGAAGGGAACCCCTGCCTCCGTGAAGTGTAGGTTCTAGAGGGAGGCAAGGGTAAGAGCTCTGAGGTGTGGGGAGGGCCTCAGGTGACATCTAGACAGTGACTTACAGGGAGCAAGTGGTCAGCTGTGCTGCCTCCAGTCATACTCTGCCCTCGTCGTCCACGGTGGCTGCTGCTGGTCCAGCCATCACATCTGAATCCCAGCAGTAGAGTGAGGAAACGGGAAAGGTAGCTAGCCACTCCTTCGCAGAGCACAGCCTAGGAAGCCTAGGAGTGCACATAGCACCTTCGCTTATCCTGTTAGCCAGAACTTAGTCCTGTGGCCACACCTTCGTGTGCAGAAGGCTGAGAAACACGCCTCACCCATGTCTGTGGTGCTATGGATAAGAAATCACCAGAGGCTGGGTCTCAAGGGCACAGCTAACACCAGTGGAAAGACCAGGGAGGATGAGAACTCCTTTCTTCAGCACATCCTCTCACCATCGCCCCACCTCCACTCATGTGGCACCGGCAGGCATGCCTGCTCACACCTGCCCACACTGGCTCACACCTGCTGACATCTGTCCACAGCTGTTCCAGCCCACTCACACCTACTCACCCCTGTGCCACCTGCCCACACCTGTTCCCATCTGCTCACACCTGCCCACACTGGCTCATACCTGCACACATATGTCCACACCTGTTCCAGCCTGCTCACATCTACTCACACCTGTTCCCACCTGCCCACACTGGCTCACACCTGCTCACATCTGTCCACACCTGTTCCAGCCTGCTCACACCTACTCACCCCTGTGCCACCTGCCCACGCTGGCTCACACCTGCACACATCTGTCCACACCTGTTCCAGCCTGCTCACATCTACTCACACCTGTTCCCACCTGCCCACACCTGTTCCCATCTGCTCACACCTGCCCACACTGGCTCACACCTTCACACATCTGTCCACACCTGTTCCAGCCTGCCCACACCTACTCACTCCTGTGCCACCTGCCCACACCTGCTCACACCTGTTCTCATCTGCTCACACCTGCCCACACTGGCTCACACCTGCACACATCTGTCCACACCTGTTCCAGCCTGCTCACATCTACTCACACCTGTTCCCACCTGCCCACACCTGCCCACACTGGCTCACACCTGCTGACATCTGTCCACACCTCTTCCCACCTGCTCAACCTTCTCACACCTGTTCCCACCTCCCCACACCTTTTTCCAAGATGAACTTTTGAATCATTTTTGGACGTTCCCCCCAAATACATTTCTGATTTGGTTGAAAAGTCACTAAATGTATAAATAAATTTGCTGAGAACTGACATCTTTATGGTGTCAAATATTTTCACCCAGGTCCTGCACATTTTTTCCATTAATTTATGTGTGTGTATTCACATTCTTGTCACTACTGGACTGACATGTAAAAACAGGATGAAACACCTTTGGCTGTTGTGTGTTTCTTTTGTAATCTTCTACCTTGCAGAACTCTAAATCCTATTATTCAAATACATTTCCAGTTCAACCTCTCGCATTTTGCAAGGAATTTTTGTTCTGTTTTGTTTTGTTTTGGAGACTGAGTCTTGCTCAGTCACCCAGGCTGGAGTGCAGTGGTGCGATTTTGGCTCACTGCAACCTCCAACTCCCAGGTTCAAGCAATTCTGCTGCCTCAGCCTCCCGAGTAGCTGAGATTACAGGTGCGAACCACGCCCGGCTAATTTTTGTATTTTAGTAGAGATGGGGTTTTGCCATGGTGGCCAGGCTTGTCTCGAACTCCTGACCTCAAGTGATCTGCCCACCTCGGCCTCCCAAAGTGCTGGGGTTACAGGCGTGAGCCACCGCACCCGGCGTGCAAGGAATTTTTTTAACCTGTAAGTAATGATATCGTTGTCCTTTTTTGTCATTTTTACCTCTTCTGTTTTCTTTTCACCCCTTTGTTCTTGTTTTGGAATTTCCTAGAAATTCCAGGGCGATATCCAGGGCTGTGTTGCTGGTGGAACTGAGTGTGTGGCCTGGACCCAAGTGAGGGTGGTTCTGGTGTCTCCGGGAAGCACTGTGCCGCCTGGGGAGTTGAAGTGCTGCCTCTTGCTCTACCCCATGAGGCCGACCCTGGACGCCTCCCCTGAGACCCGGAGGCGGCTTGGGACGGACTTGAGGAGGAAGGAGGTCCCACAACTCAGATCCTCTCACCTCCCGGCCTTCCGCCTCCCCTGTTCAGGCTCCTCAAGTGAGAGCTCCTCCGGACTCCTGCCCCAAAGGCAGCCTGTCCCCAGCTTTCATTTCCAAATGCCCCAATATCTGCCATTCAGCCACACCCTCTGCCCACCCTGTCCCTGGGTTTGAGGCTGCCAGAAATTTGGGAGGCCCTGGAGCCCCTTAGAAGCCTCTAGCCATGCTGAGTCAGCCTGAACGATGGGGCTCACTGCGGCCACTGCCCACCTTGGCCTCCCGTGGACAGTGGCTGCATGTGTCCCGGGAGGACTGTGGTGAATGCCTCCCGAAGACAGGACTGGAGACACAGGAGGCCCAACGGGCTCTGATCGTCTGACGCCTCCGCAGGAGAGAAAGGTTGTAAGAATCCAGGTTCTTTTATGAAATGCTAAAGACAGAAAAATGCCGCCTGGCTCCCGTAAGTTCTCCACGTTGAGCAGTGGATGGGAAGAAGGACAAGGGCTGTGGACGCCGAGTGGCTGAGGACAGGGGAGAGGTGCACCGGCCACGCGCGTCCCTCAGTGGGGAGATGGCTGCAGACATCAGGAGGCTGAGCACAGGCTAACCGCTGTTCCTGCTTTATCCTCCTCTCCAGGTCTTAAATTCTGCTTCTATCACTTTCTTGTTTCAAGACGGTTTTTCCTCCCATCTTGATCTGAGTACTCCTTCATGCTTTTTGTTTATCTTGCTAAATGGAGAAAACAGTGAAGCTTATACAGTTTCCCCTGAAAACAGCCTTGGCCTCTTGGTGTCATTGTTTTCCACTGTTTGTAATGACAACTTTAATCTCTTTGACTAACAACCTACTTATAGCCCCTAATTTTTTCAGTTGTCAGTTTGCAAAATTGAGGTCTGATCTGCAAACAGTAAGACTCGCCACTTTTCCTGCAAGTTCTGTGGGGGACTGACTGCAAGGGCCAGGAGGGTGGTCTGGCCCCATGCAGGCACCTCCGCCTTCATTCTGCAGCCAGGTCAGAGGGACTCAGGGGTCACCTCCAGGGGTCACCCGCACCTGGGCTCCCATGACTTCACTCCCACCTGCTGTCAGATCCCTGGGGTCTCACCACAGACCTGGAGGCCCTCCTGGGGGAGCCTCAACAAGGTAGGTGACCAGGGAACGGGAGAGCCTTTGGGAGTGAGGAGTGATGGAAGTGCAGTGGGGAGCAGAGACAGAGACAGAGAAAGAGAGGGAGAGAGAGACACAGAGAGGGAGGGAGAGAGACAGGGAGAGTGATAGAGACAGAGAAAGATGGAGACAGAGAGAGGGAGGGACAGAGAGAGGGAGGGAGAAAAACAGACAGAGAGAAGACACAGGATGAGTGATAGAGACAGAAAGACAGAGACAGAGAGAGGGAGGGAGAGACAGAGAGAGACAGGAAGGGAGAGAGAGAGAGAGAGACAGAGATGGGTGGAGGCAAGGGGCAGGAGAGAGGATGTTAACCCTTTCTCCCCACCATTTACTGAACTGTACGTTGGACGATGGGACGCCTCCTCCCCCTACCCCGTGACGGGGTCCTGGAGGGGCAGACTTTGGAGAGGAGCTGCTGAAGGGTGGTGGGAGAGCAGGCAGGGTGCCACCACAGCGCCACAGCGACACTGCTGCTGGGGGCTGGGTTCCATTCCCTCTGCCTCGAGATCATGGGGGGTACTTGGATTATTGTTCAGCAAACACCTGCTCTCTTCCCCCTCCACCCCTCCGAGGACACAAGCATGCTCTGCTCTGGATCAACAGTGGATCAATAATGGATTTCAAGCAGGCTGGGCTTGGCCTCTGCTGTCACTGTAAGAAACACACCCCAGGGGCCAGGCGCGATGGCTCACGCCTGTAATCCCAGCACTTTGGGAGGCCGAGGCGGGCGGATCACAAGGTCAGGAGATCGAGACCATCCTGGCTAAAACAGTGAAACCCCGCCTCTACCAAAAATACAAAAAATTAGCCGGGCGTGGTGGCGGGCACCTGTAGTCCCAGCTACTCAGGAGGCTGAGCCAGGAGAATGGCGTGAACCCAGGAGGCAGAGCTTGCAGTGAGCCGAGATTGCGCCACTGCACTCCAGCCTGGGTGACAGAGCGAGACTCCGTCTCAAAAAAAAAAGAAGAAAAGAAAAGAAACACATCCCAGGTAAGGCTGCCGGCCCCTGGAGGGTGAGAGACCTGGAGAGAGGTCTCAGCCCAGAGCACGGCCCAGAAGGGCCGATAAGCCTAGACCAGCTGGCCCTGACAGTGAGCAGGGATAAGTAACTGCAGCTCGACTTGTTACGCAGTGTTACTGACCCAACAGCAGACTGATGCACTTGTCCTGCACCCCCTTGCCGAGGTAAATCCTCCCAGGGCCTCAGCCTCCTCACATCCGAAGTTGGGAGAACAATGGTGCCTCCGCCCCAGGACGGGCTCAAGGTTGAGATGACTCAGCGCAGGGGAATTC